>NT_187508.1:0-62944 GCF_000001405.40 Homo sapiens
GAACACCTAAACGCCCTAAATTCTTTCTTTACTCCATTCTGCTCCTGCTCATTCCTCTAATGTGTATAAACTTCCCATATACCATAGCAGATGAGGATCCCTTTGGTTGTATCTTGTCAATACCAAACAGAATATGACAAGTGATAAACCCTTACAGTTGTCTTATTCTTAAAGTTTCAAATGTTTCCCATTATTTCTCCACCGTGGCCTCATATATGTCGTTGCCATTCTCGTTCCTGTGGAACTGGAAAGATTTACTGTTTCTGTTCTGAATTTCAACCCTCAATGTAAGCAGTGGGAAACAAAGCACCCTGTCCATGAGGAAAAATAATAAAGAAAACATTTAACTTAGAAAACAATAAATGTTTGTTTCAAAATGTTTTGTATTCAGTCAAAGGGTGACTGAATACAAAATAAAACAAATCAAGGAGAATTTTCATCTAAATTTAACAAAGTGGGAGACATCAAGAGTAACTAACTGTCAATGAGCTTGAGAAACAGATCTCAAAGTAAATCTCTGAAAACCCATTCAAGATCCTGATGTGTAAGAACCGCAATCAAGCAAGGAAGCACAGGTAAGCAAACAAAACATCTAAAAGAAGGCTTTTACATTAAAAAAATCAGAAAATAGTACCTGACGAACTTCTAATAAAATTCAAAACCCTCATGAAAAATGGGAGGAAGAAATGCCACGTTAACTGCCCCTGCTCTATTGTACTCAAAACTCCTGCAGGTGCACAGATGCAGGGAAGAGAGAGTGTTGTGGTAAGCACACCTGCTATGTTGGAGGAACTCTATAAATGAATCACAGGAAACAGAATGATTCTATTGTCACAGAGTAGAACCTGCTATGTTGGAGGAACTCTATAATGAATCACAGGAAACAGAATGATTCTATTGTCACAGAGTAGAACCTGCTATGTTGGAGGAACTCTATAATGAATCACATGAAACAGAATAGTTCCCTTGTCACCGAGTAGAACCTGCTATGTTAGAGGAACTCTATAATGAATCACATGAAACAGAATGGTTCCGTTGTCACCGAGTAGAACCTGCTATGTTACAGGAACTCTATAAATGAATCACATGACACAGAATGGTTCCGTTGTCACTGAGTAGAACCTGCTATGTTAGAGAAACTCTATAAATGAATCACATGAAACAGAATGATTCCGTTGTCACCGAGTAGAACCTGCTATGTTGGAGGAACTCTATAATGAATCACATGAAACGGAATGGTTCCATTGTCACTGAGTAGAACGTGCTATATTAGAGGAACTCTATAAATGAATCACATGAAACGGAATGGTTCCGTTGTCACCGAGTAGAACCCATTGGCCAATAACTCTGACAAATATTATTTTCTGGATATTAAACACAAACATAAATGTTAAAAATGTTTATGTTGGCCAGGCGTGGTGGCTCATGCCTGTAATCCTAGCACTTTTGGAGGCCCAGGCGGGCAGATCACAAGGTCAAGAGATCGAGACCAGCCCGGTCAACATGGTGAAACCCTGTCTCTACTAAAAATAAAAAAATTAGCTTGGCATGGTGGTGTGTGCCTGTAATCCCAGCTACTCAGGAGGCTGAGGCAGCAGAATCTCTTGAACCTAGGAGGGGGAGGTTGCACTGAGCCAAAATTGTGCCGCTGCACTCCAGCCTGGGCGACAGAGCAAGACTCCATCTCAAAAAAAAAATGTTTATGTTGAAGACAATGTTTCCATCCACAGATCTAAGAGATTTGCCCTCAAATTACAAACTGTTTTGTAAAGTGAACAAAAATGCCCCACGACTCTCCCTACATTTTTTAATATTATTCCTGTGATCATTGTCTCTCTTTTCAATAAGTTTCTCATTCAAACAAACTGGAAAATTCAGGTGATTATCTGAATCAAAACACATATATCTTACCTAAATTATCAGAACAAGGCTATTAAACATTTTGCTTTGCTGTGGTTATGCAGACTTGTTCTCTGTGCACTAAAGCCTCCCAAATCATTTACATTATTTTGATTCCTGGTCATATAAATTATTAGTTCTGCTTTAGAGATCAGGAAATTGATGCATTTCATTTTTGCATTTAACACATATTAAGGTGGTCCCTTTACTAAAAGTGGAAGACATAAAGATTAATGTGATTCAGTCTCTGCCCAAAAGGAAGTCACACAGATAAGCATATAGATTTTAGTATAAAAACATATAAACCATGGAATGTCCTATAATAAATGTATAACAAAGATTTAAGCACACGCAGAAGCCTGGAGATGCCAGTCGGTGCCACAGTCGGATGAAAGGATATATGTGCCAGCCCTTTCTAAATGTTACCAGTGCTGTGCTTGAGTTAAGAGAATTGGTGGCCAAACTAGAAACCAACTCATTTTCAGTAGCTACACAGACTACCATGAAGAAATGAGCTCGGGACAAATGACTATAAACCTTGGGTCAAATAGCAACAAAGATTCTCTTCTTGACCAAACTCTAGTCAGGCTCCTCTGAGCTACTTTTTCAACAAGGTCTCATCCTTGGGCCTTGTCCTCAAGAGCCAAGAGCCAGAAACCTGCTAAGTCAGTTTAGCCAGAACTTCCCGCCCTCAACAAGTGTTCTGATCAATTTCCTCACTCCCCACAGAACCTCCTGCACTCAACGTGTGTTCTGAGCAATGTCCTCACTCCCCCACCATCCCCAGGTGATATCTCAGCACTCTAGTGCCTGCAGGATTCTGAATAAGTTCAGACAGAATCCCCTGTACTCCTGAGGTTTTTTCTTCATAATTTGGCACCTACTGACTCCCACCCTTGGCTGTAAAACCTCACTTGTCTCTGATAGATTTAGAGCTGAGTCCAATTTCTCTCCCTACTGTAAAACCCCATGGCAGTGGTCTCTTTACCTATCAAGATAATCCCCCTGAATGAATTCGGCCTTATTGTTTTAACAAATGTCATGAATGATTTTTTTCGATGATAAGCTAGACTTCCTATGGTATAGTAGAAAATATATTTGATCATTGACACTGGTTCCTGGCATAGAGTTCCTAAAACCCTTGGCATTTCTGGAGTGATAGGAGTATCTTTTGTTACTCATAATAAGCCCTTTTCAACAATACTGAGTCTATGTTAAGGAGGTGACTCTTGCTGGGCCCCTAGATGGATTCAGGATAGGGGCTGGTTGCCAGAGGAACCAACCAAGCGGTTAGAAGGTTGGAACTTTCAGCTGGACTTCCCCTACCTCTGAAAAGGGAAGAGGGGCTGGAGATTGAGTTCAATCACCAATGGTTAATAATTTGATCAATTATGCTATGTAATGAAACCTCCATTAAAACCCATAAACAATGGGGTTTGGAGAAGCTCCAGGCTGAGGAGCCCATCAGGATGCTAGAAGGGCGGCACATCCAGGGAGCATGTGGGAGCCCCACGCACACACATTCCCCTGATCCCTTACCCTGTGCATCTGTCGCATGTGGCTATTCCTGAGCTACATTCATCATAGTAAACCAATCATAGTAAGTAATGCTTTCTCTGAGTTATGTGAGTCATTCTAGTGAGTTTTGAAACCTGCACAAGGAGATGTCAAGGGAACCTCCAGATTTAGGAGATGTCAAGGGAGCCTCCAGATTTGTAGTCAGCCAGACAAAAATGTGGGTAGCCTGGCATCTGAAATGGAGACAGTCTTGTGGAACCAAGTGTCAGAATGGAATCGAATCGTTGAACACTCAGTTGATGTTGGAGAATTGGAGAATCCATGCTGAAAAAGATACCACATCTTTGGTGTCAGGGGGGAATGAAAACCTCTCAGCCACATGAACTTCAACAATTTTCCTGCCATTCCAGAGTCAGTTCTGCTTTTAGATATGAGAAATACTAATAACACCTAAAGGCCTCATGCTGAACTGAGTAGCCATTCCCCCTCTGAGATTTAGCATGAACCACATTATATTGCAATTGTATTTATTGGTCCACCTCCCTCACAGGAACATGAATTCCCAGAAGGCAGGAATCACATGTTATTTGTATTTGTCATATGATAGGCGATCAATCAATATTGGTTTAATAAAAGGAAGAAAAAATTTCTAATAGGAGCTGTAATTAATTCCTTTGCTCTAAGCAGAAGCAAATAATGATTTCCATAACACTAACCTGTCCTCCAAACTATAATGAAAATTGAGCTAGAGGATTTGGATTGGCCATAATAATAATTCTCTGCAGCTGGACAGAACCCACAAGGTTATATATAATATTTGAAACAATGCATAGAATACTAATTAAATTTATAATACGTGGAAAATACCAAATGCTGATGAGGATGAGGAGTAACTGGAATTCTCATAAATTGCTTGTAGGAATGCAAGATGGTATAACCACTTTGGAAACAGTTTGTCAGTTTCTTATACGGTTTAACGTATATTTCCTGTAAGACTTAGCAATCACACTCCTGGATAGTTGCCCAAGAGAAATGAAAACATATGTACCCATAAATACTTGCATGCAAATATTACAGTGGGTTTATTCACACTAGCCAAAAACTGGAGGAAAAGAAAAAAAAATCAAAATTTCCATCAACTGGTGAATAAATTCTGGTACATTTATACACCTGAACTCTACGAAGCAATGAAAAGGAAACAACTACTGATACGATCAAGAACGAATGAATATCAAAAATATTAGTCTACATGAAAGAAACGAGGCACAGACTGTGTTTCCATTTAGATGCCATTCTAGAGAAGGCAACACTAGGAACAGAAAGCAGACGAGTGGCTGCAGGGCTGGGTCTCAGGAAAGACGACCGCCTGCCATGAGGCAGGGAAAATTGGGGATGACGGACACATTCTGCATCATGACTGCGGCGATCGTGAAGTACGATAAGGATTTGTTTTCCTCTTTCATTGTTAGGTTCATAACTGAGAGTCGAAAACACAAGATTAACAAGAGAAAGGCATACATATTTATTTAACACAAGTTACACATAACGTGAAGACTTCACAAGTGAAGGCCTAACAAAACAGCAAAACCTGTGTATTTTTATGCTAAATTTGGTGAAGAAGTGTATAGTAGAGAAATATGATTGGAGGCCAAAAGCCTTGATATAATAGTAATAAATTGGGGTAACTTGAGCAAGGCCTGTTTCTTCAGATTCTACTTGACAGCTCTGTGTCTTGAAGGATAGAGATGTTCCTTTCCTAGGACATAGGGAGGGCAGCCCTGAAGTGAAGGTTTTATTTTCTACTTTAGAGGAAGGTCAGAGAGTTATTTTATGACCTGTTTCATGGGAGACGAGCAAGGAAAGGTGAGAGTGACCTTTCTGCATCTGCCATTTCCCCAAGTGCCAAGGTAACGTATTTTGGGGTAGTATATCAAGAACCCGTCACCATATGTAAATTATACCTTAATCAACCCTGACTTTAAAATGTTACAATTCATTGTTTAGTCCTGTTGTTGATATAGGAGTTAAAAAGAAATTACTTGAGCAGATAGTGAGGGTACAAAAGTGCTCGGTAAAGGTTTTCTTTTTTAGTGAAAAGGAGACCCAAAGTCACTTTCTAAGAAGAGCAGCCTGTAAGATGGAGCTGCAGACATAGACAAGCCAGCTGCAAGCTTGCACGGGTGAAGGTCAGCAGGAAAAACCTACGGGGACTAGGCATGTTCAAAATGGCAGCTCCATCTCCCTTTCCCTTTGCCAACCACGTGTACAGGAAGGAGCAGACAAGATGGCACCGGTCAAGTGGAAAGCCCAATTGCATAATAATGTTAGGGTGGGGCGGCCAGCCTTCTCCTCATGCTATGTAAACCTCACACCTGATATAACCAATCTGTGGGTCCTACATAAGTTGGACACTACCTTCTCAAACCTGTCTATAAAACTTGGCGCACTCTGCCATTGGCCAGTCTTTCCCTTTCAGAAGCCCTTGTCTCTCTCACCGGAGAGAGAGCTATTCTCCTTTCTCTTTTTTCTGCCTATTAAACCTCTACTCCTAAACTCCTCCATGAGTGTCTGTGCCCTAAATTTTCTTGGCATGAGACAATGAACCCCAGGTATTTACACCAGACAATGTCACTGCTTCATTATTAAGTTGGAAAAATGTAAAACTTAAACATTGTCCCAAATATTCTTTTTTTGCCTTTGTTATGTTTCCAGGACATGGAAGTAGAAATTCTCTTCCCAATAGTAAGAATTTCCAATATTTTTTTGTTAACCAGAAATTTGAAATTAAAATATTGTTTACTTTTTTATGTTCTTGTCTTATTAAGAGGTCTATGGTAGAGGGTGGAAGCAATTAAAGGGAGTCCCCTTCACACTTTTGTTGCTTGATTATTTACTCTAGCAAATAAAACCAAAACATTCTATCTTCAGATATGACATAATAATCAACTATGAACCTTGGTGTGTGGGTTATTCAAGCCAGCTTCCTTTCTCCTGAAGCAGGAATAGCTGAAGGATCTCCCTAGCCCACCTTAGATGATAAGTGATCTTGCCCTGAGGCTCTGGCATTTATATAGCACCTCCAAAAAGCACAGTAAACCTTTAGGAGTTACAATTCATTTGATACAAATTCTGTAGGGTGTCTCCTCCAAAATCATAAAGAGCTATTTCATTAGTTTAGGCACTATGACAATTTGTCAACCAATATTGCCAATGGAGACAAGAGGGAAACCTGTGTTAGAAACTAAACCAGTCCCAACTGTTATTTTGACTAAATAAGGGTATCAACTTTTAAATACTATTAACTCTTAGGGCGTGTAAACCAGAGTTGAATGTATTCTAAAGAAGAAAGAGAAAAAAGAAGGAAGGGAGGAAGGAAGGAAGGAAGGAATCAAGGAAGAAGGAAGGAAAGAAGGGAAAGAGAAAGAAAGAGAAAAAAGACCAAAAGAAAAGAAAGGAGAAAGAGAAAGATGAAAAGAAAGAGAGAAAAAAAGAAAGGGAGAAAGGGAGTGAGGGAGGGAGGGAAAAAGCCGGTAAAAAGGAAATGGTTTGCTCTAGTGGAAAAATATGGCCGCAGATTGTAAAGAATGACCTGAGAGAATTAGTGCTTCTTTGAAATCTGAACACAGCCTCGCCATATTTCAGAATTAATAGGGAAAAGAGAAACACAGATTCCTAAAACCCCATAATAATTATGTGTATTACCATCATTTATGTCCCTGTCCCTGGCAGATTTTATAAGAGTTGTTAACAAGTTAAAAGAAGGTGATAGCTTTTCACCTGATTCTCTGCTTTGCCTACACAAAATAGATCATGTATTTTCCTCAAAGCCAAAGTTCCTTCTTGACTGTGCTATTTCTGTCAACTACATGTTTATAAAACATGGAGTCATCTGACTCTTCCCATCTGAATCCCAGCATGCAGTCAGCTCCCAGCCCTCCTCTAGGGATGCCTCACACAGCCACCCCGACACCCTCCTTGCGGTTCACCCAGGATAATGCCACCCACTCTCCTTTAGCTTCCCTGTCTCAAGTTTTTGTCTCAGTCCATCTAACTTCTATTTCTAATGTAATTCTTTATTACAAAAATAATTTGTGCAGGTCAGTCTCCTCCAGAAAAACCTCCAATGGCTCTTTACTCCTGCCAAAGGTTAAAACCTATTTAACAAGTCAAAAATTACAACACTTCAAAACGCAACTCACTATTGCCACAATTTTGCCACTGTTCACCTAAATTAACCCTCTAATTCAAACTAGCTTATTCTCTCGAGAACGTGCTGTGTTCGTTACCTGACACGAACCTTTGGAAAGTGATTTTTGGTGGGAAAGATATGCTCAGAAAAAAGTTGGCTGAACTTATTAAGGATGTCCTCCCTGAAGATTTTCAGTCTGTGGGGACTTCCCATTCCTCAGTGCAAGGCTGCAAGTGCTCGTGCCAGGCTAAGCCTGTCCAGCCCCAAGCTCAAAGCACTCTCTCCTCAATCGCGGCATTTGTCTGCACCATTCTTTTAGAAATTAACATCTGTAATGGCCCACATTTGAGTGTGTGTGTGTGTGTGTGTGTGTGTGTGTGTGTGTACACATCAATATATGTAGAAATATGTAGGTTATTAAATATATATTTACATTATATGTGAAGCAGCATCATTGTCAGTGGTAAGTACCAGGGGTTCATCCTCTTGTGCTGAGAAAATTAAGGACATGAACACATGTGGGTGGGTTAAGGAGTGGAAAGTTTAATAGGCAGAAGAAAGGAGAGAGGAGAGCAGCTCCTTGTGAGAGAGAGGTGTCAGAAAGGGGGACAGTGTCAGACCACAGCAGAGTTTATAGGTAGGCTTGAGGAGGTGGTGTCTGCTTTCCCTAGGGCTCATGGATTGGCTTGACCAGGTGGGACGTTTACATAGCAGGCGGGGAAGGCTGGTAGTCCCACCCTAATCTTATTATGCAAATGGACTTTCCACTTGACCTTCACCATCTTGTCTGCTCCTTACAATAGAGTGGCTGGCAAAAAGAGAAAATGGAGCCACCATTTTGAACATGCCTAGCCCAGGTAGTACATAACTATGGGCACAATTGCTGGCATTCACCCATGCAAGCTTTCAGCTTGCTTGTTTATGTCTGTAGCTTGATTTTACAGGCTGCTCTTTGTTAGAAAAATAATGATTTGGGGGCCACTTTTGATTAAAAGGAAAACTTTACTGAGGACTTCTGTACCCTCACTAACTGACTAAGTAATTTCTTTTCAACTCCTATATCATATGCACTTGTGATGCTGTGAAATATATATTTGGCCTTCCTTCTGTTTTCCCCCTGCCTGAGATACAACTCCTAATGTCCTTAGAATCTCTAAGTGCTGTCTTTTTGCATGCTAATGTTGACTAATAGCTTCAAGGTAGGGCTGGTCACCAAAAAGACCAAGGAAGGATTAGAGGGTTGGGACTTCCAGACCCACCCATCAACCTCCTGGGAGGGGAGAGGGGTTGAAGGTCAAGTTGAGCACCAATGGCCAATGGTTTAATCAGTCATGCCTATGTCATGAAGCCTCCATAAAACCCCGAAAGGACAAGGTTGGGGGCATTTCCACATACCTGGACACAGGGAGGTTCCTAGAGGGTGATGCCCAGAAAAAGCATGGAAGCTCCTTGCTTCTTCCCCCATACCTCAACTTACGCATCTCTTCATCTGTGTCCTTTGCAATATCCTTTATAATAATCTGATAAATGCAAGTAAGTGTTTCCCTGGTTCTGTGAGCCATTCCAGCAAATTAATTGAGCCAAAGAGGGAGTCATGGGAACCCCAAATTGAAGCCCATTAATCAGAAGCTCCAGAAGCCCAGACTGGAGACTAGTGTCAGGGTGGAGGGCAGTCTTGGGGACTGAGCCCCCAACATGTGGAATCTGATGCTGTCTCCAGGTAGATAATGTTGGAATAGAATTGAAGGACACTCACCTGGTGTCTGCTGCAGAATTGATTGTTTGCTTGCCAGTGGGAAAAAATCCTCACACATTTGGGATCCCAGAATCTTCTATGTTGATTGTTGATGTGTGGTATCAGAGCAGAAGAAACACGGTTTGAGAGGTTTTCCCAAATAATACTGTATATTTATGTTTACACTTAGATATGTATGTATACATGATTATTGTTGTATATTAATGTTATTAAATTTATTCATATTTTTATATTCTAGTGTATTAGTCCATTCTCATGCTGCTTTGAAAACATACTCAAGACTGGGTAATTTATAAGGAAAGTTTTTGTCTTAATTGACTCACATGGCTGGGAAGGCCTCAGGAAACTTACAATCATGGCTGAAGGGGAAGCAAGCACGTCCTTCTTCACAAAGGGGTAGGAGAGAGAAGTGCCTAGCAAAGAGGGGAAAGCCCCTTATACAACCATCAGGTTTCATGAGAATTTACTCACTATCTTGAGAACAGCAGCATAAGGGTAACTGCCCCATGATTCAATTACCTCCCACCAGGTCCCTCCCACCACACATGGGGATTATGGGAACTAAAATTCAAGATTAGATTTGGGTGGGGACAGAGCCAAACCATATCATCTAGATAATTTTATTAAATAGTAATCATTTATAATTAATATACCTAACTTATACAGTATATATTATGATATATAATTGATAATTTTAGATTAATATATCGATAGATTATAAAATATATGTTTGCATAAGATATATATTCATTTTTATTTTATATTTATTTGTATGTATATATACACAAATGCATATACACACAGATATTTCCTTTATCAATATAAATACATATATGTATACATATATGTATATATTCACATATATCCGATAGGTCATTGTTTCTCCCTACTGGGCAATAGACTTGACATCCAAATACTTACTTACAGTATGAAGTACAAGTTTTTCAAAAATATAATAGCAGCATAAGGAACAAAAAGAAAGAGTGTGTAAACAAGTGGAACTACTGGAAGCTGTCCAAGATAACGTCCCACATCCTACCTTCTTGGCCTGTCATTCCGATAATCCAAGATCCATGTGAGTCCACAAGTCCAAGGAGCAAGACATTAGGAAGGACAGCAGAGGTGCTGACATCACATACAAGTGACCTCTCTACCCCTAGTCAGGGAATGGGTGAATAGAAGAGTATTTGGAGAGAATGAAAATCAAAGAATGTGACTGTCACAGAGTTAATATTTTAATAGATAAGATTTATGTTTTAAAAACTTGAAAGAAAAGAAAAACGAATAAAGGTATTGAATTAAAAATTCTTGGAAAAACAAAAATTAATCTCACAACCACTTAAACACAGATTACAGCAAATTTTGAAATGCCTCTCAAATTATTGAGTGCTTGTTCAGTTATTTTTAATAAATGTATTTAATACGGATTGTGTACAGTGAAATGCTCATTCTTGTGCTAGTAAAAGTGAATTTTAGTAAAATCATTCTTGGTAAGACTCTGTATAACTTTGGACATAAATTACTATTCCTGCCTGGGCATGGTGGCTCGGGCATGGGGTGCATGCCTGTAATCCAGCTACTTGGGAGGCTGAGGTGGGATAATCGTTTGAACCCGGGAGGCCGAGGTTGCAGTGAGCCGAGATCACACCACTGCCCTCCAGCCTGGCCAACAGAGTGAGGATTCATCTCTCTCTCTCTCTCTCTCTCTCTATATATATATATAATTATTATTATTATTATTCCTTTTAGAAATCTTATCTAAACAAATTTAGGCCAAGACTTGTTTAAAAGATGTCTGGACATTTTTCTCTAACAGCAAAATTGGAAAACAAACTAAACCTTGATAAATAAGAGAAAAGTAAGATCAATTATGGTCTGTCCCGTATGAAGCTATTTATTTAAATTTTGCTCTTTATGTATTTTCAATATTCAGTGCAATTGCTGCCACCAGCAGCTGTATGGCCTTGGCAAGAGCCTTCCTTCCTCTGCGTCTTGATTTCCTCCAAGGTGGTGGAGACCTCAGTCCTCCAGAGGACACCTGGTTGCGCTTGCGTCTGCTGCTGCCACTGCTAGATCTTTGACCACGGAAGGTAAATGAACCCCTAGAGGCCTAGGTTTCTTACCTGTAAAGCAGGGATAATAATAATCATAACGACCTCGGCCGGGCGCGGTGGCTCACGCCTGTAATCCCAGCACTTCGGGAGGCCGAGACGGGCGGATCATGAGGTCAGGAGATCGAGACCATCTTGGCTAACACGGTGAAACCCCGTCTCTATTAAAAATACAAAAAATTAGCTGGGCCTGGTGTCCGGCGCCTGTAATCCCAGCTACTCGGGAGGCTGAGGCAGGAGAATGGCATGAACCCGGGAGGCGGAGCTTGCATTGAGCCGAGATCGCACCACTGCACTCCAGCCTGGGCGACAGAGCGAGACTCCGTCTCAAATAAATAAATAAATAAATAAATAAATAAATAAATAAATAATCATAACGACCTCATCAGCTTACAAGAATCAGTTCATACACACACACACACACACACACACACACACACACACACACCACACACCCCACATCATACACATATAAAACACTGACAACAGAACCTTTAGAGCTGTACGTGATAACTGTATTGTTTTCACCTTTAAAATGAGAAGCTTAGACAGACAGAATCTGAGAGCTCCCTTTTAAATTTTAAATTGTTTATTTTTGTTTTAAATTTTGTTTCTCAGACCTCTCAGGGATGAATACAATTTTTAAACTGGGGGAATTTTAATTACTGGTTGGGGTTATCATATTTAGATGGTTTGATAAAGAATTAAACTTGCAGTTCTAATTTAAAAATTGAGAAGGTATCCTGTTTCTACTGGTGAAGACATGAAACCTTAGACCTGAACAGAGGATGCCATCGTGTATAAACCAAACAAGAACCAGAGCAGCACAGCTCACCTCAGGGCCACTGACCCAAACAAAGGAAAAGGGACCTGACTGCAGTCATCGGCCTCAGCGACTGGCCCTACAAACCTCAAATTTTGAAAATGCTATCACTCGGAAAGTGGCCTATTGGGCAAAACAGAAGATTGGCCTCAGTCGCATGGGAATATTCTCTTTATTGTGCCATCACACCTCAAAGAAATGAGTTTAGTTCCATAAAACTATATAACTAATGAAAGCCATTTTCTGGCTGGCCAGTAAGATAAATGGCTGACTGGCACATACAAGGTATCACCTGTACCTTTCGCCACCATCACTCTCGTGACAAAATATCTTCAAAGTGGTTAATTTGCCAGTCAGATATTTAGTTTGATTAACTGTTATAAATGAGTTAAAAGCACACTGCAGTTCACTTTTCTCATACATTATTTTTCCTCCAACCCTATTGCTGTACCTTCTGAGACATGCTGATTGGATTCATTCTCTTTTGCTAAATAGGACTGCCCAAAATTTACTAGATGCTGAAACAAGAAGAAAATAGAATATTTTAGAAGAATTGAAGCAATCAAATATTTGCTCTGGCAAAGGAAAAGCTTTTTACCCAAAATATTAGTTTTGCACTAACTTCAAAGCAAGTGATGTTTCTTAAGTGTCTTTGCTTCCTTCTCCTTCCTTGCCCTCTCCCTCTTCCCACCTCCCCTCACCGTAGACAGACAGACAGACAGACACTCACACACACACTTTCTGGGCAATAAAGGCACACAGAAAATAAAAATAAAGGTTCAAAATGTGTTATCTCAACACTAACAATATGTGTGATTCCCGAAAAAGGCAGGTGTTGGGACAGAAACAGTGCTGATGCTTTCAAACTTGAGTCTGTGTCACCATAGGTGAGTCTGGGAAAAGATGCTTCCCACCACCAAAGAGAATGCCAGGAAACAGCCAGTGTCTCCGTGGGCATGGTGGGTTCTAGCTGTATTCTCAGAGCCTTTTTCCCTCCATGCACAGAAACATTTCATAAAGAATAAGCATGAATGGAAACAACAACAGTGGTTGATAGTTCCTTCTGTTATTTGCCTCTTCTTTTTGCTATCAGTTTAAGATGGGAAAGTCTACCTACATTTTTAACAAAATATCAATAGAAAAAAAAAACAACAGAAAAAGAAACAGAGTTCTCTCCAGCCTCTCAGAAGGGCTGCAGTGACTGGCATAGTAAATTATGGGAAAGTTCCACATTGTGGCTCAGCATGTCCAAGAACAAAGCCATGGACAGTTTTTCACAAGAGAAATCTGAGGGAATATGAGCAGATTATATAGCACAAAACATGCCACAGCCTCAACAATGTTTTTGAGCCCTGAAACAAGTAACAGGACAATAGGGTTGTTGGAAAGCTTAGAGTCTAATCTTGATTCTAAAACATGTAATATGGTCATGTGCCCCATGACGTCTCAGTCGATGACAGACCACATGTACAACAGTGGTCTCGTAAGATTATAGTACTGTATTTTTATTGTACCTTTTCTATGTTTAGATACACAAATACTTACCATTGTGTTACAACTGCCTACAGTATTCAGTACAGTACCCTGCTGCTTGTAGCTTAGGAGCAATAGACTTTATCATACAGATTAGGTGTGTGAGAGGCTCTACCATCCTGGTTTAGGCAAGGACACTCTATGATGTTTGCACAATGATGAAATCACCTAAGGACACACTTCTCAGAGCAAATCCTGGTCATTAAGCTACACATGACTGTATATAAGCTGCAGTGTGTGACTGACATGTCTCTACCAATGATTAACTATTCTTCAATGGAGAGCAACATTCCAAGAATTAAATTGTAAAAGCCCGTCTAATAACAAGTGTTCTGTATTTCTGGGACAATTCTGTCTTTGCCTCCGAGAAATGGCTACTTCACAAACTCCCGTAACGAAATTTCACAGGTGAAAGGCGCAGCTAGCCATGAGCACAGCCAGGATCCATTTATGTCAATTAGGAAGTGGGTTAGCAGCCCAGGTGAACCTGGATACGAGTGAAAGGACTAGATGCAGTACACTAGAATTCTCCTCTCTGACCCGTGGACCAGGAAGAATCCCTCTGCACTGTGTAAATATGTGAAATAATGGGAAGACCAAAGAGGAGTCCCCTCAGAGTCCCATGCTTGAAGCCAGCTGCTGGATAGCCAGACACCATAGCTTACTGTGGAGGAGCACTCCATCCCCAGATGAAGAAAGAGGGTGCACTGCATAAGGAGACGCTGCTGATTAGACTTCAAAGGAAATTCTTTATCAGAGGTGCATATACATAAAGTGCAAAAATCACAGACAATATATAGACTCAAGAGAGAAGTCCTGAGGACCCATTTTAGGGAGAATTTTTCAAGTAGAGGAAGAGACACAATAGGATCAAATAGCGGGGACGAAATGTGTTTAAATGATTCAGAGAGAAGAAAAATCAGCCAAGGGAGACGTCAAGGAGAAAAATAAGGCAAGTAGCACAGCACTGTGATGATGACAATGCTGAAATGGAAGGAGGCTGAGGGCCGTCCAGACAAGCCACATGCTAACGAAGGCAGGAGCGCGGTGGGGTGAACAGATGCTAAGGAAGGCGGGAGTGCCGCGGGGTGAACAGACGCTGAGGAAGGCGGGAGCGCCGCGGGGTGAACAGACGCTGACGAAGGCGGGAGCGCGGCGGGGTGAACAGACGCTGACGAAGGCGGGAGCGCGGCGGGGTGAACAGACGCTGACGAAGGCGGGAGCGCGGCGGGGTGAACAGACGCTGACGAAGGCGGGAGCGCGGCGGGGTGAACAGACGCTGACGAAGGCGGGAGCGCGGCGGGGTGAACAGACGCTGACGAAGGCGGGAGCGCGGCGGGGTGAACAGACGCTGACGAAGGCGGGAGCGCGGCGGGGTGAACAGACGCTGACGAAGGCGGGAGCGCGGCGGGGTGAACAGACGCTGACGAAGGCGGGAGCGCGGCGGGGTGAAGAGACGCTGACGAAGGCGGGAGCGCGGCGGGGTGAAGAGACGCTGACGAAGGCGGGAGCGGGGCGGGGTGAAGAGACGCTGACGAAGGCGGGAGCGGGGCGGGGTGAACAGACGCTGACGAAGGCGGGAGCGCGGCGGGGTGAACAGACGCTGACGAAGGCGGGAGCGCGGCGGGGTGAACAGACGCTGACGAAGGCGGGAGCGCGGCGGGGTGAACAGACGCTCAGGAAGGCGGGAGCGCGGCGGGGTGAAGAGACGCTAACGAAGGCGGGAGCGTGGCGGGGTGAACAGATGCTGACGAAGGCGGGAATGTGGCGGGGTGAACAGATGCTAACGAAGGCGGGAACGTGGCGGGGTGAAGCACAAGGATGTGACTGAGAAGACGACGTCGCTGTTGGAGAATATGGTGACTTTGACTGAGAAGGCGACGTCACTCTTGGAGAATATGGAGGCCATGAGGGCCGTCCAAACACAGGTGCTAAAGAAGGCAGGAGTGTGGTGGGGTGAAGCACAAGGAGGTGACTGAAAGACGATGTCACTCTTGGAGAATATGGTGACTTTGAGAAGACGTCACTCTTGGAGAATATGGTGACTTTTGACGGCTGAGATGCTTTGATGCCCGGGAAGCCCTGCAGCTGCTCATTCTCATTGTACATTTATGAGAAAAAAGCAAATGAAAAAAAATTAATCCAGAACTTACTTAAGGGAACACAATATGGTAGAATCAGCCAAAAACCTACATTTAAAGTATAGGAGAGTAAGTTGTAATGGTGGACTTGAAATAGTAAGGAAAGTTTGTATTATCATCTGTTTACTAAAGCAGAAAGGGAGTGTAACAATAGTTTTTAAATATCAATGAAAAATCCTTGGAAAAACATATCAGTGCCAGTGTTGAGACACAGTCAGAAAAATAGGTCACCTCAGACGTGTGAATAGGCTCAGCAAAGCCTAACAGAAAATTCTGTCACCTCATAAAGTACTTTTCAATTGCAGAGGTCAAAGTGCTTCTTACATTTAGTACAACATGTGTGTGCATGTGTGTGAGCATAATTTTATATATATTACATATATATAATATCTTATGTTCTATTCCTATGAAATAGAAAAGAGATATAAAAACAAAGACATTAAAAGACTTAATTAACCAAGGATTCACAAATGACAATTCCTGGGGGGTTCTGGAGCATGGAGATTAGGAAGAGAAGTGACATGTAACATGACACAAGGGATTACGAAAGGCAGATAATATGAGGGAAAGTCATGAGGGAGCTGGATTTATTATCCTGAATTAGAAAATAATGCAGAGTCTCAAAGTATCCATAAAGGAGAAGCTCCTCCCATGACAAGTGTGGTTTCCCATGCAGTGGGGGAGGCCCTGGCCCTGGCCCTGGCCCTTCATTCCTCCCATTCGCTACCTGGTGGGCTCTTGAAGACATTCATTCTCACTTCCCCATTCCCCTTCACTTAAGGGGCCCTGAGGGGTGAGGGGAAGGCCAGACCTGTACTCTGTACATTACAAGTACCCACCTCTCTCTCTCTTTCTCTCTTTCCTTCCTTCTCTCTCTCCCCATTTTTAGCACACAGTTTGTTCAGACTCCTGACCCCCCACCACCAGTCACAGGCATGGCATGGCGTAGCCTCATAGATTAATTACATTCATCCCCACTAAATTCTGCATTGTGCTCTGTGTGACAATCAATATAATAATGTGCTTATATTCTTAGAAGTTTTATACTCATGACAAATAAGATATTAATAGGAGTGGCTTCTGAAATCTGTGGTTGCACATCACAAAATACATCTGCACTTCCCCCGTTGTTAGTTATGTTTAATGATCTTTCCATGGTTTAAGTGAGCATTTCTGTTGGTGTTGGCATTGGGGTTAGAACAGAATCAGCTACTCCCTTACAGTGACCAAAGTCAGACATGCCTGTATTTGAACCCATATCTGCTGCTTTTTAGCTCTATGGCCTTTAGCAAGTTATTTAATCTCTAAATTCTTAACCAGATTTCTCAACCGATTGTAGCTCACGAAGTTGTAGCAAGAATTAAACGAGCTAATCCGAGGGCACCGCTGTGTCTGCCACCGAGTATGTATGTGAGTTCTGTGCGTGTCATGATGGTTAGCTGCTTACGTTCTTCTTCTCATTTTCCGTGACTGTCTCCTAAATCATACAGTGACAGTCGCTCTGGGATTCCTGGGGGTTTCCAGCAGTGTCTCCCTGGTGAATGATAAACTTCAGCAGTTAGGTGAAGTGCTTGGTAAGGTAAAATGGAAGCTTGACATGAAAAAAAGTTTTGCAAACATCCCCATAGTGGAAAAATAAGACCAGGGAAGAAGCTGCTAATTAGCCAGAGGTGCAATGATGTATCATGACTGTCAAAGCAAAGGAGCGATTTTTGCTGTAGAGATAGCCAGCCTTCAGGAAGGGCCATGTTTCCCAGTAATTTAATCTGAAAGACATAAATCATGACGAAAATCTCCCTGCATTAGTAATGGAGAGAAATACCTGCATTCTAGCAAGGTTTGCATGATAAAAGACAGGTTTTCATACATCTTAGATCAGGAAAAATAATTATCAATCAAAGATAACCCCCTGCATCCTCGTTTGAAGTGAAATTGGAGGTCAGCGGAGGCCAAGAAAAAGAGAGGACTGGATTGTCTCTGCAATTTTAAGGAGCTCATTACTAGAAATGCTGTTTTACAAAGTTTCAGCTGTATGTGATTTTGAAACATTAATGATTTAATGCCTGCCAGACAAAGAAAGGGAAGGGATGTCAAAAACCAAAAACAGGTATAACTGTATCATTGGCATGAAAATGGAGGCTGACATCATAATGATGAGAAATCACCCCAGGGCCAAAGTATGCCAACTGAAATCATGGCCAAACACAAATCTCCTGGTGCTTTGGAAGAATGCAACTGGAAATTGATAACAGCAGAGGAATCTATATTATCTGCTTCCCAGAGAATTGGGAGTTCACAGAGAACAAAGTCAGTGGCCCCAGCAGAGCCCTTTGCTATGCAAATAAGCTGGAACACTTACCCAAACACACTCTCTAAATCAAGATTACCTGTAATTCCTCTGTGCTGCAGCCTATAGGGCTGTAGAGGCTTAATCATATTTATTACCTAACCAATGAACACATGGGCTGTTTGATCAGAAAGTAAATTTTGGCCCCACCTCACCATTCCTACAACATCATGCAAGACCAGTGAAGTCCTGAGAACCTGGAAAGCCCTAATCCGCATTCAGTGACTGGTCTCTGACCATTTGTTTTGCCCGGACAACTGAGTAATGGAGGGACAAACAGCTTAAATTGTTAGCAACTACTAGACTATAAAATTCTTACTAAACAGGCACTTTCTTGAAAGCTCAGACCATTTTTTATTCAATTTTTGCAATTAGTAGAATTTGTCTCCCTGGTGATTTCTCAATTAAGATTAAATAGGGCCCTCAAAGATGCTGGGGAGAAAAAACGAGAAAACAAAAAATTAAATGGGGAATGAAGAAAATAAAGGAGAAAATGAGAAAAGAAATAGGGAAGGGAGAAAGGTAAAAAATAAATGGCATGCCAATCATTAACTCTAAAATCCAGGTGGAGAGATATATCAAACCAGGCAGGCAGGCCAAATTAGTCAGAGCAATGTTTGCTGGCCACTATAACAAGCAACCCAAAATCTCAGTGGCTTAAAATAAAGCTTACGTCTTTCTCATTCGAAGTCATTGTCCCTTCAGTGGCCCTACTTGGTTGGTCTCCTCCGAGTGGTAACTCAGAGATAGGAGCTGCTTCCATACTATAACTCTGCCACCTGGAACATGTGGGTTCCTGGATTCCCACAGGAGGAAAGAAGAGAGTAGTGTCTTATGGTCAACTCTGGAAGTGGCCAGCGTTCCATCTACACAGCACTGGTCAGAACACGGTCATAGGTTCCCAACATCACCCATAAGGGAGTCTGGGAAATGTAGTCTTTTCAGGTTTCCAACAAGTGGGGGCCACGCGATGAGGAAAACAAGGAGTTCAATTCTGGACAAATCAATCGGAATCGACCACTCTTGTCACACAGGAGCACACAATCTGTGTGAGCAGACAGGAAAGGCTCCATGAAAATAAGGGACTCGAGCATGAAGAAGAAAGGCATCTACGCAGAGGGTACTGTATGAGCAGAAATTTGGAGGTGATTGGTGCAGGTGGAGCTGAAGGACAAAAATTAGTCTCATCTGCCGGGAGCAGAGTTTCTGAGGAGCTGAAAAGAGTGATAGAAGACCAGATAAGTCAATTAGACAGATTGGAGAGGCTATTTCATGCCAACCAAGGAGATTTTTGTGGCAGGCCAGGTGTCACTAACAGCTGAACAGGCAGGCCTCCATAACAACTGTCTCAGCACTGACTGAGTGTTGAGCTACATACTGAAAGCTGAGAGAGCCAGTGTCCTTATACAAAGGCTGGAATGTAACCAAAGCCCACCAGGAGTTTTGCCCAGGCCTCTCCCAGGTCTTGAAGCGCGACAAAATAATGAAGGAATTCTTAACAGGACCTGTTTAGGATTAAACAACTTGTTATTGGGGGGCTGAAGAAACTCCCCAGACCTCCAAAAAATGTTTTATTGGGGGTCTAAAGGAACTCCCCAAACCTCCATGATTTAGCAGGAGACAGGATAAATGTAATCACCCCCGGTACCTAGACCCGTCTAGATTAAGTCAATTTACTGAGGCTGCAGAGGAAGGGCTTCAAAACTCAGATCTTAGTTACAGATTAGAGTAAGTTAATCACTTATGTCTTTACACGAATGCACAAGTACACACAGACATATAGCTTAAAAGGTATATAAGCTCTGTAAACCTTGTAATTTTTGGTTAGTCTGGCAGTATTTTCCAGGCCTTCTCCCTGTACCCGGTTACAGAAATAAGCTCTCTTCTTTCCCAGTTTATCTGCATCTCATTATTGGGCCACGAGAATAAGCAGCCCGACTCTCAGTTTGGTCTGGGAACAAACGGACTTATCCCTGTAGGTAATAGAATGCCTTTGTCCATAGCTCCTGGCTATGAGCAGTGAACGAGGCCAAGGTTCTGCATGACCCATTGAAGAGGAGAAACTACTGGCAACAGCAAGCCAGGAAGGCTGCTCTCCAGGTGCTAGGTACCTCCAGGCTAGAGGTCTTGGCCTCAATCCTTAACTATCTGTGTGAATTGGACAAGTCCATCAGTTCCTTGGTGTCTCAGTTGATTCATCTATAAAATGAGGAAAATAATGTGTAATGTGTAAGAAAGCTCTGTGGATCAATGTTTAAAATATGTGAGAGAAGCACCAAAAGCAACACCAAAGCGTGCAGTCATGGAAGTCATGACTTCAGCGTGAAGTCATGATTACTGAATCAGTGAGGAATAAGGGTGGAGGGTGGGGTCACGGAGATGGAAACACCAGTGGAATAAGGGTGGAGGGTGGGGTTATGGAGATGGAAACAGCAGGGGAATAAGAGGTAGAGGGTGGGGTCATGGAGATGGAAACACCAGTGGAGTAAGAGGTAGAGGGTGGGGTCGGGGTCATGGAAATGGGAACACCAGTGGAATAAGGGTGGAGGGTGGGGTCGTGGAGATGGAAACACCAGTGGAGTAAGAGGTAGAGGGTCTGGTCATGGAGATGGAAACACCAGTGGAATAAGAGGTAGAGGGTGGGGTCATGGAGATGGAAACACCAGTGCAGTAAGAGGTAGAGGGTGGGGTCGTGGAGATGGAAACACCAGTGGAATAAGAGGTAGAGGGTGGGGTCGTGGAGATGGAAACACCAGTGGAGTAAGAGGTAGAGGGTGGGGTCATGGAGATGGAAACACCAGTGGAATAAGGGTGGAGGGTGGGGTCATGGAGATGGAAACACCAGTGGAGTAAGAGGTAGAGGGTGGGGTCATGGAGATGGAAACACCAGTGGAATAAGAGGTAGAGGGTGGGGTCGTGGAGATGGAAACACCAGTGGAATAAGAGGTAGAGGGTGGGGTCGTGGAGATGGAAACACCAGTGGAATAAGGGTGGAGGGTGGGGTCGTGGAGATGGAAACACCAGTGGAATAAGGGTGGAGGGTGGGGTCGTGGAGATGGAAACACCAGTGGAGTAAGGGTGGAGGGTGGGGTCGTGGAGATGGAACACACCAGTGGAATAAGGGTGGAGGGTGGGGTCGTGGAGATGGAAACACCAGTGGAATAAGGGTGGAGGGTGGGGTCGTGGAGATGGAAACACCAGTGGAATAAGGGTGGAGGGTGGGGTCGTGGAGATGGAAACCCCAGTGGAATAAGGGTGGAGGGTGGGGTCGTGGAGATGGAAACCCCAGTGGAATAAGGGTGGAGGGTGGGGTCGTGGAGATGGAAACACCAGTGGAATAAGGGTGGAGGGTGGGGTCGTGGAGATGGAAACACCAGTGGAATAAGGGTGGAGGGTGGGGTCGTGGAGATGGAAACACCAGTGGAATAAGGGTGGAGGGTGGGGTCGTGGAGATGGAAACACCAGTGGAATAAGGGTGGAGGGTGGGGTCGTGGAGATGGAAACACCAGTGGAATAAGGGTGGAGGGTGGGGTCGTGGAGATGGAAACACCAGTGGAATAAGGGTGGAGGGTGGGGTCGTGGAGATGGAAACACCAGTGGAATAAGGGTGGAGGGTGGGGTCGTGGAGATGGAAACACCAGTGGAATAAGGGTGGAGGGTGGGGTCGTGGAGATGGAAACACCAGTGGAATAAGGGTGGAGGGTGGGGTCGTGGAGATGGAAACACCAGTGGAATAAGGGTGGAGGGTGGGGTCATGGAGATGGAAACACCAGTGGGGCACTAGGGATACATTCACATGATTTGGAAATGTAAAGACATGGAAGACAGAGCACAGAAAGAAATGACAAGCAGCTCCAGTTTCTGAGTCCAGGTAACTGAAAGAACGATGGTATCGCCGAAAAAATAAAGTAGTTGTGTGGGGGCTCACTTGACGGGGAAGACAAGGAGTTCACTTTTGCACAAATCAATCTGAACTGAAAGCAAGGAACCAACCGTGCTCTAGGGAGTAAGAGATACCCAACCAAAGCTCAGGAAGTGATTGCCATTTAAGCTCAGCTTCTGATCAATTCACATAGTTAAATCCACACGTGAAGTAAGTGTTACAATCACTTTCCGAATTTTTATTACTCTAATATATATTTAAATTAACTGCAAATAATGTTTTTAGTATCTGAATGTATTTATACCCTTCTTTTTTAAATACACAGGAGTTAAACATCTCAACGAATATCAGCATTGGAAGAAAAAACTGTTTGCAATGGAAAGGAAGAGCAATGTTCCAAATCTACTTGAGTTACAGAAAATCAAACTTCTCCTCAGGCCTTTCCTCCAGCAAAACATTCCTGTCGACAAAACAAGCTGGAAAGTGTGGGGCTGGGTTCCTGCTCCAATCCTTCCAGCTTTTTAGAACCCAAGAGACTCAGCTCACTTCCCAGCGCCACCGGCCTTCCTTGGATGTTTTCCACTCTAGTTGGGTTCAGGCCGGCAGTTTCTCCACGTTCTTTAGCTCTCTGTTTTATTTCCAACATACTCCAGGCTGGTTGAGAAAGGGGAGAGGGGAGCCTCATGCTGCCCACTGGGTCCCCTGGGCAGGGCACACATACCTCTATCAAAGGGTCACTGATTCCTGGGAATTCCAGCCAATGACAGAACTAGGTGGTCTTAATTGCATTTGAAAATAATACTAGAGAGAACAGAAAGAACAAATAAGACAAGGTAAATGAAATGCAAAAAAAAAAAAAAGAAAAGAAAAGAAAGAAATTTCACAGGATTTTGCAAACTTTTGTTAAGCATTCGAATTCCAAAACCCTCAACCAAACAAAGCTTTCACAGCTATTTGTGCCTCAGGCTTATTTCCTAATTCAAAGCTGTAATGGGATCAGGTTAGTAAGAGCCTGCAATGGAAAACTGAAGCACAGTGCAAACTGATCTCTCACACTGTCGCTAATTTATCTTCTAAGACATTTGCAAAAACTCTCTTCACTGACTCCAAATATTGTCTGTATGGGTGCTTGGTATCAAACTGTGAAATGGCTCTGTGATTATGAAGTGCAACTATTAATCTCAGAAGAGTGAAAGCAACCTGGCCCATCTGCATGGAGCGCTAACACAGTGCCCGGTACAATTCAGGCAGACCCCTTCTCTGTCTTACAAACAAGGTATGGAAAAGAACAGCTTGCCCTAGAAAAAGCAGACATTCAAATGGGAGGCTCACTCAGCCTTTCAGCTTCCTCTGCCTGCAGCATCTTGGAGAGGCACATGCCCAGAGGGAGTGTTGGGCTAGATCATGGTTTGCTGGGCTGAATGCTGGAGGATTTGAAGCAGGCCCAGCTGGGAGGGAGAATTAGGAGCAGTAGGACCCTTCATGCTGGTCTGAATCCAATCAGGCTTGACTGAGTCACAGCCAAAGAAATGACTCAAAGACCAGCACCAACTCCAAAGACAGAGGTTCTGCTGCAAGGACAGGTGAGCCCGTGGCTGAACCCCAGGCAGAAGCCGGAACACAGCCGGGTGAGTCTGAGACAGAGTGGAGGCTGTCCCGAGCTGCAGGTTAAAGCATCACTGGGGTTTGCCTGGCTTGTCTTCATTGTTCAGAGGGCACAAAGGTGCAGGATCAGGGCAGACATGTAGGGAACCTTTGTCTGCAGCAGAAAGTCTTTCCCCACCCGCCATCGCTCTACTTCCCCAAATTGTTCAAAGCTCATTTCATCTAAGACACTGCTCTTTCAATAAAAGGTTTACCACAGACTCACCAAACGGCTGATCCCTGTAGCGTGTTACATTCCACGAGAACCTAGGCACACAGAATGTCATGACTTGAAAACATGAGGCATTTGGACCAAGGGTTGGCAAACTTTTTCTATAAAGGATCAGATTGTAAATGTTTTAGGCTTCCTGAGCCAAGAGACAAAAATCAAAGATATTATGTCAATACTAATAAAAGAAGAGATAAAATAAATTTCCACAACATTTTTCTTGACAAAATTCAAACTATAACATAATCATTTAGTTTTTGTTTGTTTTGATAATACAGGCCCACAAAAGAGATAAATGGAATCCTTTGAGGAGGAGATAACATTTTGCTTATTGGAAGTTCAAAGTTAGTTCCCTAGAACCAAATTAATCCCAAATGTTCATCCATAAAAACCATTCTCAGCCTGTGTTGCCACATATAAGCAGGAGGGGCTGGATCTGGCCTGGGGGCTACAGTTTGCAATCTCTGGATTTAGACTAATCTGCCTGTTATATATACAAGGCATCTGAACCTCAGAGACTTAAGGATTGCTGAAAATCACAGGTCTTGTGGGAACATGGCAAGCCCCTCACCCCACCTGGATGAAGATGTGTCCTGGCCTCAGGACAAGCCTGTTGGTATTAAAGTTTCAGGTTGTCTATTCTGGCTCACTTTATGTGACCACTTGCCCAGGCCATCGCACCCAGATAGGTGGTCAAACACTGTTCTAGTCACATATTGTTATATATTCCATTTCTGTGAGGGTGTGTTGGAATATGATTAATACTTCAGTCAGGGGACTTTGAGTAAAGCTGATTGCTTTCTGTAATGTGGGTGGGCCTCATCCAATCAGTTGAAGGCCTGAATAGAACAAAAAGTGACCTCCCGCAATCCTGAGGGAATGCTGCCAGCCGGCGGCCTTCAGAAGTGCAACGTGGGCCCTTTCCTGGGTCTGCAGCCTGCTGGTCTATCCTACAGATTCTGGTCCTGCAGTCTCCATAATCATGTGAACTAATTCCTTCAATGAAATCTCTGTCTGTCTCACCCTCCTACACAGACATGTACACACATGCGCACACACACACATGTTTCTCCGGTGAACCCTAAGCAATGCATTGACTCAGATAATCATCTTATGGGAAATGCTATGAAAAAAAGAACCTAAACACACATACAAGCTTATGGTAATCGTGGGACACTTGTGTGAAGAAGCAAATGCAACTATTATAATTCATAGCATTGAAGGTAATTTATTTACATTCATTAATTGCCTACAAGATAAGTATTGCAAATATAATAGCAAACAAGCCTGACCCAGCCCTGTCCTCTCATTGCTTATATTCTAATGGAAAAGTAAAACAGGACAAACAGAAAAAAAAAGTGCTGAATAGACAAATAATAAATAAAAACTGATGAACGTGCTATGTAAAAACAAAAATGGGACTGACGGAGAGGGGCAGGAAATGCCTCTCTGATGGTCAGGTCTAAACGGAGAGGGCTTCCCTGAAACTTCAGGAAGGGGAAAAATTGAAGCTGAGGAAACAGCACAAACAGCCCTGAAATGGAAAAGTGTTTCAATGCTTCACAGACCTGGAAGATCAGTGTGTGGGGGACGTGCAATATGAGACGAAGCCTTAGCAGATTGGGAATTTGGCTCCAGAGATGGTGGTGGTATGGACAATACAGTGGTGAGACCCCAACTCCTGCCCTTTGTTTCCACTCACCAACGGCAGATTCCCCCTGAAGATGGGCTGGGAGATAAACTTCCCGTTCAAATGGACCCTAAGTGAAGAGGCTCTTGGGGAAAACCTTCCTCCCATTGCACACCCACTGCAGGCAGAGCCTTCCCATGCTCTGTCCAGGCCTCCTGCCTAGTTATCTACGGGGTGAATCAGTCCACAGAGAAACACTCACCAAAATGTCAGCTGGACTTCAACAGGAAGGGTCAAGCTCAAAGGAAATTATATGAGGTTTTTAGAAAACTACAACAAATTCAACTCTTTGTAGTCAGTACCTAACTCAGCGCCTAGCATATAAGGCTCAACAAATCATATGGAAAGTTATCTGGTGTAAATACCCAGGGTTCATGGTCTTGTGCCAGGAAGATTTAGAACACAAACACACAGGAAGAGTTTAGGAGCAGATGTTTAATAGGCAAAAGAAAGAGAAAGGAGAATAGTCTCCCTCT
Organism: Homo sapiens; assembly: GCF_000001405.40. NCBI lineage: Eukaryota > Metazoa > Chordata > Mammalia > Primates > Hominidae > Homo > Homo sapiens. The sequence goes on from NT_187508.1 coordinate 26,240, forward strand.
AGTGAGAGAGAGAGAGAGAGTTTCCCAAAGGGAAGACCAGCCGGCAAGGAGTGTGCAGGATTTTTTAGGCAGGCTTGAGGAGGCGGTGTCTGATTTCCCTAGAGCTTACATAGGTTTACACGGCATGCGGAGAAGGCTGGCCACCCCATCCGAATCTTACTATGCAAATGGACTTTCCACTTGACTGGTGCCATCTTGTCTGCTCCTTCCTGTACACGTGGTTGGCAAAGGAAAGGGGAGATGGAGCCTCCGTTTTGAACATGCCTAGTCCCCGTAGCTTTTTCCTGCTGCCCTTCACCCATGCAAGCTTGCCGCTGGCTTTTCTATGTCTGCAGCTCCATCTTACAGGCTGATCTTTGTTAGACAATGATTTTGGGGCTGCTTTTCATTAAAAAGCAAAACCTATGAGGATTCCCATACCCTCACTATCTGCCTAAGCAGTTTCTTCTTAACGCCTATATCATTAAGAGAGATATTATGCAGCTTAGAGTTATTAGGGTTTGTGAAATAACAAATAAAGAGATAAAAGGTTTTTGTGTGTATTGGTGTGAAGATATGTATATATATATATGGACATATATATTCTGTTGTGCCTCCTGGAGTTTAACCCCTATTCACTTTAACTGGTTGGTCTAGGCTGTTCCAAAAATTATCTTAAACACACATTTGCAAGCCATATTGCAGATGATGTGATCTTACCTGGGAAATGTTTCACTGGCAGAAAGAAGCCCTCTTTTTGTCTTTAAAGGCTCCTTTCTTTTCTCCTTTCATCTGTTTATAAGTTTGAATAGTGCTTATTGGAATAACTAGAGCAAATCTGGAAAAGCCTGGGCACATTGTTGTCAGCTACAGGATTTGCTTTGTGCAGTTTGGCTTTTACTACTTCCTTGAAGAGCTACCTTCCATCGAGACCACACTAGTAACACTGGCAGTCCATACACAAGTAACACATCACCAAATGGCCACAGATGGCCAAATGGCTGACTTTAAAAGCTGGACAATTCACATGCAGAAATCATTGGCTTCTGTTATTTGGGGAATTAGTGTATCTGATGGGGGGCAGTACTGAACCAGTTTTATAATTTCTTCTGTAGAGGCCAAACCAAAAAAGCCTAGAATGAATGAATGTAACTGTGAATGAATAAACAAATGTGTTTCCAAAAATAAATGATTCTTATATTAGATCATATTTTGAAAGATCTCAAAGTCCTTTTTATAAACTCCATTTGTCAAGAAAAATAACTCCTTTTATTAGGTTCCCTCTCAAGGATGTAGAACATACAGACTTGGGCATGAAGAAACATTTAAGAATCTCAGTATTTAACATTTACTAGGAGCACGTGCCTTTCTGAAGCGTACTCTCACATGTCTCCTTCAAATCTCCATGGATCCTTGCCTCAGGTGAGTGACATTTTAGGTGGAAATCAAGGAAGAGGTGGAATTTTATATCTGGGCAGACGTCATGTGGGCCAGGTTCAGCCTACATAAAAAAGTGATGCGGACCATAAACTCGGCATCTACGGCAAGTGGCCTGCTTGCTAGGCCTCTCTTATCTAGATCACAGGAGCAGGAAATGCCAGTTGATATCTGGATTACATATAGAGAATTCATTTGGCAATCACCCTCACAACTTCCAACCAGCAGCCAGACCAGGAAATATATTACCACGTACTTCCTTCCTGGGGCAGAGATAAAACTGACCTGGAGGAGATAAGCCTTGAGGCCCTGTGACTCCCGCTCCCACTTAGTGATCATGCTCAGAACCACTTCTGTTGACTGATATGAAATCTCTTCATTACAATTTACTAGAAATAATCCCTCACACCAAAAAGGGGAGTCATTTCCCCAAAGCCAAATCACTTGGTATTTTCCAACCCAAGACTAGAAACCAGCTGTCCTGCCACCCAAACACCCAATGCACGCTCCACCATCCTTGCTGCTGGGCTTTAACAAAAGAATCTCAAAATCAGAGTGGGATTTGAAGACTAGAAGAAGAAAGCAAAACAAGACTATCTGGCAAGGCTGGGTGAGGAGCTTTGCAGCCAACCAGGACTGAGGTCTTGACACAGAAGGCCTGGAGAGGCTGCCATTATTCCCCAGTGAATTAAGAAAGACTTGCAGCAGCTACCTCTTAAGATACAACAGAAGAGAAGCCACCTGAGGTAAGCGGGTCAGTGAGAAGGAAGCTTCAGACAAAGGAAGCTGTGAGTGAGGACAAAATGAAGAGGAACGAACCCAGCCACACAGTGACAAAGAAACCACAGGGTTTGGCAAGTGTCTGCTTGACCTTCTCTAAAGCAAATTAAAAATGTAGAGCTGAATCTCTAAATTTAATATTTAGGAAGAAAGAATTGCAATTCACAATATAGAGGCAGACAGGGTGGTCCGAAGGTGGAAAAAGAGGACTGTTCCTTTGTGGTCCTGTGAGAAAGTTCTTTGATATTAGCAAAGTTTTGGGGGCTGGTAAGGTCTGATTGGTGGGTGACTGTGGTGGGCAAAACTAGTCCTTGATTTGCAGTTGTTATCTCACCTGCTACAGATGAAAGTGGTCTCTGGTTACAACAGGCAGTTTCAGCCACGGGACTTGCAGACAACAGCATTTCTAGAGTGACGTTATGTACCCTGAGTGCCTTTTACTCAGACCCCTCTTCTCTGATTTAGTTGGGTATGACAAGAATGGACCAATTTGGATAATCAACTTGCACAATGCTGACTCAAGAACTGTAGCATTGAGTGTAAGGGTGCATCATTTTCATAAACACAGAGGAAAATGTGGCTGGTGGCTGATGGCAGAGCTGAGTCCCGAGAGCTCAGCCCTGAGCTGCCTTTCATCTGGTCACCATGTTCAGGGGTTCTTCTCCATGTAAATAAACATCTGTGATGAAAACCTCCACAGGTCTCATCATCAAAGTGGGTCTTCTAGAAACCAATTTGCTTTCAAAACAAGAGATCGAGTGATAATCTATCTAATGTTCTAGAAATGTTGGAGGCACCCTAGACAAATGTCAATCTTAAAGTTTTCCTTTTGCCTTATTTCTCTAAGTAACACCTTCTCAAATCATGAAAGCAAGAGTGATCTAAATTTTTTTAAAAAAATCCATATTAGAAGGAAGATCTATTAAGGATCTAGTGAGTAAATGACACTTTTGGAATGTTTAGAACTTCAAGGGGGAAACCACATGTTTTCACATCCCACTATATCATTTCCATAAGGATGAGGAAAAGCAGTACCCCTATTTGCAGAAGAGAGACTGCCGTGAAGTCAGTGGACACTATCTCCAGGTCAGAATCCAACCTAAAGGCCTTTAATCAATGGTAAGTGCTCTGAGGCACAAAATCCTATGCTCCTCATCAGTCATGCTTTATGTCCTCTGAATATTCTGAATTCACCAGAACCTAGTAGACCTATTTTAAGTTTCTCCAAAAATGTCAAAACTCTGTTTTATAGAAAACCAGAACTTTCATGTCAAGTGTTCCTGAGAACATTAATAACAAAAGCCAAAACAAGTTTCTTAAAGTCTGTCAGCCAGTTCTGTAAATATGACACAAGTAAATACTTCTGGACATCATTTAGATATTAACGTAACATGCATAAGCTAGAAAAGGCAGCATTAAATTTGGATGTTTTTGACTTTTGTTTCTCAACTTTTTAAAGATTAAATCATGGGATTTTATTCTCTTCTATTCCCTCTAGGGAAAGCAATGTGCTGATATTTTTCTGAAAGATGCTAACAGTGGAAGGAACTATTGAAAACAATTAGGGGAAAATCGCACCTTGAACTTAGTAGAACGTGTACACCATGTTCTCACAGGAAATCTCAGACATGATATTAAAAATTCCAGTTGTTTCATTTTTTTGCAGAACAGTCTGTAGTTATGTACTGAGTGCACTGTGCAGGGGGCACACAGGGCATACCAAAGGCTTCTTTTGTTTATGATACAGATTCCCACTGTACTCGGAAGGTTTTCTTTCAAATGCCTCATCACAGTGTGTCCAAACTTCTTGTAGGGAGCAACAGGGCCTCTATTTAAGCCTCTTGTTAGCCGATCCACCAGCCAAGGTCATGTTGCTTTCCCTTAAGAATCAGAGCCCCGGGGATCCTGTTCTATCTGTTCTTTCCGCCGCCTCCTGTCTTTCAGCAGGGCAGATGCCTCCCAGAAGTAAACCAGATGCCAGGACTGTGGGGGACTCTTGAGCAGCATCAGCCAAACTGTAGGAGCTGAGAAGAGGAAGCTTTGCTCAGGGTAAGCGCCCTGGGATAATGTCTTTAATGTCAAGAGGATGCACACTGGAAACGTGGAAAGCCCTCCAGGCTGAAAGAGGGAGTCACACAGGTGGGGAGTGTTGCCAAGCATTTCCGAGCACTCTCTTCGGTGGGCAGACAGCCGGCTTGCTCATGATTCCGCCTTTTCTGTTATTGTCAACAAGCCGCCACTGGAAATTTGTATCCTTAAGGCTTTGAGGTCTTGACTCAGGTGGGGGTCCCGGAATAAGCTCATTAAGTTTTTGCCTCATTACCTCCAGGCTCCAAATCACTGGTACAAATTTCTCAGTCTGACTTAATGCTTAGGGAAATGTCGTATTTTTGGACCCTTCATTTTAAAAAAGTATATATATTTACCAGTGCTATCTCCGCCAATTCCAAATAAACCTTAGACTTCAGGTCATGAGTCACTAGGAGTCTGAATATGTCTTTTATTTGGATTCAAATAAGATTTTAACTTCCTGGCACCATGGTTTTCTGAAGGTGCCAGTGTGAGACCTGGGTCATCAGAATGACTTGGTGCTGGGAAGCCACAGAATGGTGCAGTAAGATCTTGCTGTCTCGGTTTCTGCCTTAGAAACAATATCATACACCCTCTCTCATTTCACAGAATGCTAAAATTTAGCATATGTTATAGTATTTATTGACAATAATAAGGCAGGATAGCAAAGTGGTTAAGGAATGACTACACTCAACAACCATAACCTCCTATCGTGCCAGGGACGGCAGGCAAATACCATGCACGGAAGTCAGTGTCAGCAGAGATCAGCGGGCATTCTCAGAACACTGTGGGAACTAAGGGTCTGAGCCATCAGGACTGTCCACAGATATTCCACTCCTTCTGCTCATATAATATGCTTGCATTCTCCATGTTTTATGATTTGAGTTCAGGATTTGTTTAATTCAGGTATGGTAAAGTGATAGACACAGACAGGAACAACTGCCTTTGAAATAAGAGCTTGTTTCTTACAGTTCCTAAGAAAAAGGAGCATTGGCATGCCACACAGGGCTGCCCAGGCAGCGCCAGGATTGGGCAGGAGGCAGGAGTACAGGAAGCATGGATCGAAGCCTCCATGAACCCAGAGGGGAGAAGTCACAAAGTAGGGACAGCCCTTATTCGGCAGGAAACAAGTCACAGATTTGTTTGTGGCTGGAGGGTTTGTGATATGACTTTTATGCTACCTCAAAAGTGGGACTGAAGGGTGATGTAGACACCTTTGGCCATTAGTTTGGCCCTGTGATTAGTGCATGTCAAATCATCAATTACAAGATCTGTAGAAGTTGGTTGGAACACCCCACCTTGTGCAGACAGTCTGTTCACGCAAGTCGGGCAGGAATCATGAGTGGAAGCGGCATGTGTCACTTCCTGCAAAGGACCAGCACAGGGGACACCACACTCCCTTTGCCTGCCACAGTGGCCACGAAAGCACCTCCATCAGCGTGCATTCCCAAGTGAGTACCTGGGTGGCCTGACAGGTCTAGAGTCTTTCAAGGCTCTGCTGGCATCTCATCTGTGAACATCCCACTGGCCACAGCAAATCTCATGGTGGGATGGTTAATTGTATGTGTCAACTTGACTGGGCCACAGGGTGCCCAGAAATTTGTTTCAACATTATTCTGGGTGTGTCTGGGAGGGTGATTGCAAATGAGATTAGCATTTACATTGGCAGACTGAGCATAGCAGGTTGTCCCCCCCGCCCCACCCGATGTGGCTGGGCCTCAGCCAATCAGCTGGAGGCCTGAATGGAGCAAGTCAGAGGGAACTCTTTCTGCTTGGACTGCTGTGAACCCAGGCATTGGGTTTTGTGTTTCGTGTTTCTGCCTGTGGACCTGAACTGAAACATCAGATTTTCCCTTGGAAGCCCACCAGCATTTGGACTAGAATTAGCCCATCAGCTTTCCTAGGTCTGCAGTTTGCAAATGCATATCTATCTTGAGACTTTTGTTTTCATAATCACGTGAGCCAATTTCATATGGTATATATTTATAAAATAGTATTATAGGCCGGGTGCAGTGGCTCACACCTGTAATCCCAGCATTTTGGGAGACCAAGGCGGGCGGATTACAAGGTCAGGAGATCGAGACCATCCTGGCAAACATGGTGAAACCCCGTCTGTACTAAAAATACAAAAATTAATGGGGCGTGGTGGCGGGCGCCTGTAGTCGCAGCTACTCGGGAGGCTGAGGCAGGAGAATCACTTGAACCCGGCAGGCGGAGGTTGCTGTGAACAGAGATCATGCCACTGCATGCCAGCCTGGCAACAGAGCAAGGATCTGTCTCAAAAAAATAAATAAATAAAAATAATATTATGAACAATATTATTTTATATGTATACACACCTATCCTATTGTTTCTGTTTTTCTGGAGAACCTAGACTAATTCACAGGGCTAAGCCCAAAGTCAAACTTGGTGACCTCTATAAAATTACATGGCAAAGGCTGGAGAAAAAGGAAACAGTAAACATTTGGGGTCACATTTACAATTTACCACAGATGGCAAGAAGATAGAGCTGCTTTTCCCGATATCTGGATGTCGGTTTCCAGCCACCCAAATCTTCCTAAAGACGTGGAAATGCTGTGGCCGCTGCAGCAGTGGGCAGAGGAGTGGTCAGGCCGGGAAGAGGAGGTGCTCGGGTCATCTTTCCCATCCCCAGGATGGCTGGTGGCCCCCTGTGCTACGTGCATTTGAAGGCCTCACCTGCCTCATGGGTCTGAGGGAGGCAGCACATAATTAACCACTACTAGGAATTTTAGAATGTATTTTTAGTTCTCTGGAAATGTCTCCCTCATTATTCTTTGTTATTCAACTTTGAAACACATGTGTAGGAATCCACTGTGTGTAGAAGTAAGAAACTGCCTATAACCAATGCTTTTCACACCAACAATCTCTCGCTCAAACGAATACAAGCCAGGCTCTTAATGTTCTTGTTATAGAAGAATAACTCGGTAAGGTAAATAAAGCTGATATTAAAAATCTAATTTTACATATAAGAAGACATAGAGACAGACGTTAAATGGTTTGCCCTGTGTCTGAAAGCTCATTAATTGCAGAAGTGTTGAAGGATTGCAGGGCTCCTGACTCTTTGGTCAGGATGCATTATGCAGCCACTCACAGAATCATTTTGAGATGGAGAGCCAGAATTCTGGAGAACAGCAGAGTGCTCCTGCAGCATGTCTGTGCAATGAGAGCACAGCAACCCTTCTAGAGAATTTGGTCAGGGATTGGGTCAGGAAATGTTCATGGAGCACCTTCTCCTTTCTCTGTGTCAGGCACTGTGCTATGTTATGGAGACACAGGGGTGGGCAAAACCAGACCCCATACCTGCCCTTAGCAGTATATTCTGTAAGGGGGCTGGAGGATGTAGACCTGAATCAAATATTTGCATGCACAAGTAGAAACATGCAACCCATGTGTACAGTGAAGGGGAGGCCCTTGGTGCTGCAAAGACCCATAATCACAGGCCCCGGGCTGGGCAGAGGGCAGGGAGAGCTTTCCTGGGGAGCAGTGCTTGAAATATGGTACAAAGAAGGGGTTGGAGTTATTGAGATAAATAGAAGAAACAGTGTTCCAGGTTAGAGGGTTTAGAAAGTGCAAAGGCCTTATACCTGGGAAAAAGGAAAGACAAAGGGGTGGAAGGAAAAGCAGTGGCTGAAGCACAGTGGCTCATGAAAGACGAGACTGGATAGAATAGGAGCAGGTCCTCGGGCCTGGAGGATATCTTCAGACATTTGTGCCTTATCCAAAGAGAAATGGCAAGACATGGACGATGTGAAAGCCAGGGGCTGTCCTCCAGACCATGAGACCTCAGCCAGCTGCCGCCCAGAGCCAAGTTGCTGCTTTGTGTGCCGCTCTCTCGAAGTGTGGAAGAGCAGATGGGGTGTTTTTACTTCTGCCCCAAAACTTACACATTTCACTAAAATATTCCTACTCCATGCTTAGCAATGAGAAACCTTCTCTATGCCATTCTTACCCTTTTGAAATGATACCAGATGCCAAGAAACACCACAGGAGTAGGGCAAAGAGGTTGAGCTTCAAGGGCAGATGTAGTCTAAGTGTCAGCTGTACCACAAATTGTGACAATAAGCACTTCACCAGGCTTCTTATTTTACTCCCTCTTCCGTGCAATGAGGCAGCTTGACTCTGGGGCTGGAAATAGTTCTCTCCTCAAGGTGGAGGCAAACGGAGTATCGGACAAATTGATAATCCACGCAATCCAAATTGTAATTAGTATAGTCTTTCTCTGGTTATTGAGACAAGTTTTTCACATGAGCTTAGCTTCTGTTTAGCATTTTAACTGTGGGAGAGGGAATGTCCTTGAAAGTCCTGTGACTCTTTGGTAAAATAAGAACGTACTAATGAAATATGAGAAACATCGAAAGAAATTAAAAGACATTAAAAATCTATTGTGTATCCTGCACTCCAAAGTCATTTTTAAATGGTAATTACACCTTTGAAGAGCATCTAATTAGTATGAAAAGAACTTTGGATGAATGTGGAGCTCTTCATCTGACTTCAATTGATACACAGTGATAATATTCAAGACCAATTTCTGCAGCTTTTATTGCCTGACTGAGCATTGCTCTGTTTCTGAAGTTTAAAGGGATTTTCTAATCTTTTGCTTATCAGAGGCTGAGCAAAGACCTGTCATGGTTTATGGAGGTAAAAGAGAGGAGGTAAAAGTATTTTTAAGTGCCCTGTGGAAAGTGCTGTCAAGTCCAGGCTGTGTCAAGCTCATGCTTTGTGGTGAAACAAGGATCTAAGCCACAAACTCCTGAAAAGAAAGTTTCTAGTCCCTTTTTGTCTGGGTCATTCAGGAGCATCGAGACAGACACACAGGAGTCTGGTAAGACTCCTGTTCTTCATCCCTGTCATCAGTAACGTAACACTCTTAGTGCTCGCTGTGTGCCTGGCTCTGTGTTAAGTGCTATTTCAGTTAAATGTTAGCACTGTGAAATGGTTTCAGAAAAAGGCATTTGTGGTCACTCTCAAGTAAATGCCCAAATGGTCTAACTAGCTTATTAAGCAGGAGCACTCATTAAAATCTATGAGATTTGCATAAAATGCACTCTGCAGCACCGCTCTCACAGACACAATGGCAACAGCCCTTTGAACTAAGGCCGTAAGTTTCCTTAATGGGTTACATCAAAATTTAATGGCCCAGAGCTGGGCCACTTAGGTTTACTACCTAGACAGATGTGTTGAATGCTGCTAATGGGAAGATTGTAAGGTACTGGCTGTATGATGCCCTTCTTTTAAATTCTGTAATGGATACAGATGCCATTGGTTAACAGTTTTTATTTCTTCCTTAACTAAAAGGGTTTTATAATAAGCAAGTCAACTATTTTTCTTCGGCAAGGACTTCAAGTACATTTCTGACCTCATCTCCCACTCTCCCTCTGTCCTTTCCATGAATGCCACACTGGCCTCCTTGATGCTCCTCAAAAATGCCAAGCTCCTCGGGGCCACTGTATTTGTGCAGCCTCTGCTGGAACACTGTGTACATCTGGGTTCTTGGAGCAGCAAACACCAGAATAGTATTTGCCACTCAAGAGATTATTTGGGAGAAGTGCCTGTGGAGGAAAATGAGAAGGGGCTGCAGGGGTCTGGGCAGGCAAAGTCTTAAAATGCAGTGCAATTCTGAGAAACTTTTGGCAAGGCTGGTAGTAGAACCCTCCAGCCCAGGCTGACCAGCAGAGGGGTCCTTCATCTCCTTGCAGCAGGCCTGCCTTTATACTCCGCCATGCTGGGTTACCGGCTGACAGTGGCAGATTTCAGGGCGGCAGCTGGCTGTTGGCCAGCCGCTAACAGTCACCAGCCCCCAGGGGCCACGAGATCTGACAAGCCCCTTCCCAGGGCCACCACGAGCTCTCTTGGTCTACAGTTCTCAGGACTGCTTCTCCTACGTTCAGTTTCTGTTAAATATCCCCTCTGTGGGGTCTGCCCTGTTCATCTCATATAAACATGTAAATAGCAACCCCTTCATTTCCCCTCACCTTCTACCCCATGTCAGTTACTGTTATCTGCTTTGTTTATTCATTGCATCAAGATACAACATACAGTCATCTGTCGGTATTCATGAGAAATTGGTTCCAGGACCTCCCCCAGATACCAGAATCCCTAGACGCTCAAGTCCCTGATATGCAATGGTGTAGTATTCAGCGTAGCCTATGCACATTCTCCCTATACTTTAAATCATCTCTAGATTACTGGTAACACCTACTACAATGTAAATGCTATGCAAATCGTTGTTACACTGTGTCATTTAGAGAATAATAAAAAGAAAAACTTTGTACATGTTCAATACAGTTTAAAGGGCTTTTTTTGCAAATATTTTTGACTCCTGGCTGCTTGAATCGGCAGATGCACAACTCACAGATACAAAGGACTAACAGTGCGTTTCCTTGTTGATGTCACATGAGCTCCCTTTAGCAACAGATAGAAGGACTAACTGTGTGTTTCCTTGTTGATGTCACATGAGCTCCCTTTAGTAACAGAAGGAGTAAGTGTATGTTTCCTTGTTGATGTCATGAGCTCGCTTGAGTAACAGATACAAAGGACTAAGTGTGTATTTTCTTGTTGATGTCAGGTGAGCTTGCTTTAGTAACAGATAGAAGGACTAACTGTGTTTCCTTGTTGATGTCACGTGAGCTCACTTTAGTAACAGATAGAAGGACTGTGTTTCCTTGCTGATGTCACGTGAGCTCTCTTTAGTAACAGATAGAAGGACTAAGTGTGTATATATTAATGTATTAGCATAATATATTTATATTATATATTAACATACAATATTATCTTATTATATGTTACATAACATAACTAATTAACATGATTAAATAAATGCTATGACTTTACCTGTATATCGAATTATCTAGACTCCTAGAAACATGGTTGCAGGATGAAGACTTTACCCTTGCTGAAATTTCTGTGCCTCTCCTCCCTGCTTCCAGAAAGGCAGTGCTGGAAAATGCCTGTCTCAATGCACACTCAACAGCACTGTTTTTTGTTTGTCTGTAGTTTTTTTGAGATGGAACCTCATTCTGTTGCCCAGGCTGGAGTACAGCAGCCTGATCTCAGCTCACTGCAACTTCTGCCTCCCAGGTTCAAGCAATTCTCCTGCCTCAGCCTCCCAAGTAGCTGAGATCACAGGTGTGCACCATCATGCCCAGCTAATTTTTGTATTTTTAGTAGAGATGGGGTTTCACCATGTTGGCCAGGCTGGTCTCGAACTCCTGACCTCAGGTGATTCACCCACTTTGGCCTCCCAAAGTGTTGGGATTACAGGCGTGAGCCACCGCACCTGGCCAGCAGCACAGTTTTTTAATCTCTATCATTTTGATAGTTAAATATATTTGTATCTTGTCAATTTATTTGCACTTTTTATTATTTGTATTTATAACAGCTTTGTTGAGGTAAAATCAATATAAAAAACTGCACATATTTAATGTACAATTTGATGTTTGGACATATGCATACACTGATGAAACCATCATTAAAATCAAGATTCATTATTCATGCTTTTGAACCTAGGTTTCATTTTTTATCTATTTATTGTTTCTTTTGTAGTAAACTGTCCAGTACTTGACCAGTTTTTCTATAGAAAGGGCAGTGTTTTATATGGGAGGGGTAGCTTACATCTGTAATCCCAGCACTTTGGGAGGCCAAGGCAGGTGGATCACCAGGTCAAGAGATCGAGACCAGCCTGGCCAACATGGTGAAACCCCGTCTCTACTAAAAATACAAAAATTAGCCAGGCGTGGTGGCGGGCGCTTGTAATCCCAGCTACTTGGGACGCTGAGGCAGGAGAATTGCTTGAATCCGGGAGGTGGAGGTTGCAGTGAGCTGAGATCACACACTGCACTCCAGCCTGGGCGACAGAGCGAGACTCTGTCTCAAAAAAAGGGCAGTGTCTTCATTAATGATTTCATGGTGTCAATTATACAGCTATATAGATACACACATGTGTTTGTGTATATAGTGAGTTGAATTGTCTCCCCTCAAATGATATGTCCATCTGGAACCTGTGACTCTGGCCTTATTTGCAAAACAAACAAACAAACAAACAAAAAAAGTCTTGCCAATATTATAAAATTAAGGGTTTTGAAATGAGGTTATCTTGGATTATCCATGTGGTCCCTAAATCCAATAAGTGTCCTTATAAGACAAAGACAGACAAAGATTTGACACACACAGATGCACAGAGAAGGCCATGTGAAGACAGAGGCAGAGATTGGAGTGTGGCTGTCACAAACTACGGGACACTTGAAGCCACCAGAAGCTGGAGACGAGGAAGGGCCCTCCCGTAGGGCCTCCAGAGGGAACACAGCCCTGCCAACACCTTGAGTTCAGACTTGGAGCTTCCGTGGCCGTGAGTCTGTGAGAGAACCATTTCCGAATGTTTTGAGCCACCGAGCTTATGGCGCTTTGTTCCTGCAGCCCTAGGAAACTCTGTGTGAGTGAAGGTAATTGTGTCTCTCTGTATCTATCAGACTAGTGAATATCAGTGTAACTCAGTGTAATTTAACTTTACCGCCTCACATCCTTGCTGTCTGACCTAAAGATTAAAAATTCTCTCAGAACTTCTCTAGCTCTTGCTTCTATGTGGTAACTGCATTGAAATTTTTAGTACATCCTAAAAATTGAAAGATACATGGTAAGCCATGTATCTTTCCTGCCTACCAGTTTGTCATTTTTCACATAATAAAGCAAGGTCACTCAAAGGTATTTTTTTCTTGTCTCGCTACTTTACACATTCAACCATGTTTATAAGCTCAAAGAAAAGAGATGGCCAGTTTGCTAAAATGAAAATATCATTGAATCCTGAAGATTTCATTCTTCCATAAAAATTATCATATATAAAGATGACTAAGTATGATTTCAGGCATCACCTTTCATACAAGCCTTCTTCCCTAAGACCTATCCACTGCTCTTCTCCACTGTGGTTTTAATATTTTAATGTTTCCATAGCACTAGATTATGAGATCCATGAAATCAAGTATTGTGCTTCCCTGAGTCTCCAGGGTGCAGCCCTGGCCTTGAGACATAACCAGTGCTTAGTAAGTGCTTATAAGATAAATCCTCAAAACCTTAAAATGAATTAAGTGCTTGTCCACTAAAACATCCCCCTATGTTGGGGGGCTAAATTCAGACTGTACTGTATAGTTAGGAAGAGCACAAATGCAAATACATGGGGTCATAGGTAATTTGTTTCTTCAAAGACCATGTAGACTTCTCTTTGGCAATTGCAAGGGAAATTCTATCAATCATAGTCCACACATGGATATAAGCCATAAGTAACTCTTTTCCATGCTTGCTTAGCACAAAGCCTTATATACTCTAGATTTGGGGTTATGTTTTTTTTTTTACAGTAATATATGTAAAGCAATGTCACAAATCTGAGCCCCTCACGCATGCAATTTAAACACTGGAAACCAACTATGTGGAGAGTATAGCAATGGTTTGACTCTGAGGTAAGAAGCACGGTGAAAGAACTGGAAATAAACCCTGCATCTGAGCTTTATGAAGAAGCGATTATAATCAATACCAAAATGAAAAAAAGAAACATCAACAGCTACTGTGAACCAAGGTCTTCACAGTTTTGCTTCTTTCCACTAATCTTCCAAAGAGGTTATTTTGAGACGATATGTTCAAAGCACTATAAGCCATTCTTCTCCAAGAAGTGGTGACAATTACTTTGCTTCTTGCTTCCCACTCCTAAAAGGGAAATTTAATCAATATTGTCAGTTCTTACAAGAAAAATGGAAAACGCACACACACATTCAAGCTCTACTTCTATAATCAAATAAAACCATCAATAATTAATCAAAACTTGACTAGAAGCTCTTCCAGAACCACAAAGCTCACATAGCATCCCAGAGATAGATGATACCATGATCTTTGATGTACACAGTGGAGCATTTGATAAAATGGTGATGTTTTTCTGCCATAAGTGGTATAATTACGCTATGTATCATATGCATCCATTTAATAATATCCCTGTTCACAGTCAGCCAGGCATTTCTCACAAGCTGGCATCTTCACAGGCCACTTGTTCTGCTGATTCCACTTTCTTCTTTAGCTGGGCAGGCTGCAGCCGCTGTTTTTTCCCTTACCAGGCAAACTGATGATCTAGTGCTTTCTTGCGTATTGAGGTTAGTAGATAACTAACATATTTTAGCACATTCATTATAGCCAGTTTTCCCCTAAGAAAAAATTGCACATTTGGGTCTTCTGCCTTGACAAATGTGGTGCTTCATCTTGAAAGTTGATTAAAATCATTACCTCTGTAGAAAATTACATGCAAAATGTATTAGTATCCAGTATATTCTGATAAGAATGCTTCTCATTCATAACTCTGATACCAACCTGCTCACCGCAAACAAAACAAAACAAAACAAAACAAAACAAAAAATAAAAGAGACATACACACACATGCTAAAACTGCATGCGAGCACTCATGGGAATGACAGTGTGTTTTTAACCAACAATAAAACTAAAAATTACTCATCAGTTAAACCATAGCTCATAATTTAAGAGAAGTTACATTTTGAAGTCCTGTTTTATCTCCAATTGAAATTTCAGAAGGCTCCAGAAATTCTATGGTATAAACTTTGCAATTTTAAAAATACATCATTTCAAAGCCAGTGGTCTGGAAGAAAATTGCCTATGCTGATGAACAAATATATTATAATTTTCACCAAACCATACAGCACACTTTCTTACATCAACTTTTTTCATCTCATCTCCTGATTCTCTCCCACAACCCATGTGTTAACCACACTTACCTTTTAACTTTTCTCCTAAAATATTAAGCCTTTTCCAAACAGTTTTGCTAGACAAAAATCCCCATTCATCTTTCAAGGTCTAGCTCAAGTGTTGCATAACCGTTGTTCAAGTTACTAAGGCTGTGTAACAAACAACCTCAAGACTCAGGTGCCTAGAACAAGCCCAGATTCTATCAGTCAGAGACTTGGACAGGACACAGCAGAAATGCTTGTATCTGCTCTGTCATGCGTGGCATTTCAGATGCAAAGATCCAAAGGCTGGAGGTGACCCAAAGGCTGTTGGTTGGAATCAACTGGAAACATCATTACTCACATGTCTGGTGGTTGATACTGGTTGTAGGCTGGGACCTCAGCTGGGGTTCTGATTTGAGAACCTTCATGTGGCCTCTCCATGTGGTCGGGCTTCCTCACAGTACGGGGGTCTTCGGGTATTCAGATTTTATACATGGTGGCTCGGGGCTCCTCAGTAAGTGAAGCAGATGCTGCATGATCTTGTAAGAAAGGAAAACTTTTCCTCCATCCTCTTAGGTTCTGCAGCTTAATTTGTGAATTAAACTGACAAAAGATGGACCAACGAATGAAGAGCATACAAATTTTATTTGTTGTTAATATTTTTATATGCATGGGAACTGCAGAGAAAGAACTAAAAAAATCCAAAGAAGTGGTTACACTTAGGAGCTTACCTACCATTTTAACAAAGTACGATAAATTGTGGGGAAGCAACCAAAGAAAAGGGGCTTGGGCTTCTAGGGGCATTAAATTGTAGGAAGGTAAATATATGGGAGAAACTATTATAGATAAGGGTTATTTAGTTGGGTTTCTTTATGTAGAGTAATCTTGATGCTGTCTCCTCTTCTTGGTATGAGAACAAGGGGACACCTTTATAATGGAAATTTATTCCTTGCTTTTAAGCAGATAAAGGAAGGGTAAACAGCTCTTCTCGCATCTTCTTTTTCTCAATTGCCTTCAGCTTAAAATAAAAATTAAAAATTTTAAAAATAAAATTTATGCAAAAGTAACATATATTAGGGTTGTATATTCTGATACTCTTCAACATTTTCTGGTCTAGCCTCCAGAGTCACTCAACATCAGCATCACTTTCTCTACATTCGGTTGGTTATAAATAAGTCAAAGGACAAATAAGACAAAAAAGTATTTGTATTGTTAATACTGAGAGGTGACAACGTGCTAGCAGCCCTCACTGGCTCTCAGCAACCGCTCTGGCAGTGCTCCAGGAGCCCTTCAGCCCACCGCTGTGCTGTGGGGGCCCTTCTCTGGGGCTGGCGGAGGCCCGGCGGCTCCCTCTGCTCCCCACCAGGTGTGCAGGGAGAGGTGCAGGCGGGAGCGGGGCTGTGCATGCTCGCGGGCCAGTGCTGGTTCCGGGTGGGTGCAGGCTCAGGGGCCCACACTCGGTGTGGCCGGCCGGTGCCTACTAGGCTGCCGGAGCACCCAGGCTAGGTGCCGCAAAGTCTCAGGGCAAGTGCCATTGAGAGCTGAAGCCGGCTGGGTTTCTGTGTCGGGTGGGGACTTGGAGAACTTTTCTGTTTAGCTAGAGGTTTGTAACCGCATCGATCAGCGCTCTGTGTCTAGCTAATCTGGTGGGGACTTGGAGAACTTTCCTGTCTAGCTAAAGGATTGTAAATGCACCAATCAGCGCTCTGTGTCTAGCGAAAGGTTTGTAAATGCACCAATCAGTGCTCTGTCAAAATGGACCAATCAGCTCTCTGTAAAACAGCCCAATCAGGTTTCTGTAAAATGGACCAATCAGCTCTCTCTAAAATGAGCCAATGAGTAGGATGTGGGTTGGGCCAGATAAGGGAATAAAAGCAGGCTGCCTGAGCTAGCAGTGGCGACCGGCTAGGGCCTTCCAGACTGTGGAAGCTCCGTTCTTTTGCCTTTTGCAATAAATCTTGCTGCTGCTCAGTCTTTGGGTCTGCACCGTCTTTGGCGGCTGCTGCCCACTCTTTGGGTCCACGCTACCTTTATGAGCTGTAACACTGTGAAGGTCTGCAGCTTCACTCCTGAAGCCAGTGAGACCACAAACCCACCAGAAGGAAGAAACTCTGGACCCATCTGAACATCTGAAGGAACAAACTCTGGACACACCATCTTTAGGAACTGTAACACTCACCGCAAGGGTCCGTGGCTTCATTCTTGAAGTCAGTGAGACCAAGAACCCACCAATTCCGGACACAATACTATTGGATGTATGTTTGTCTGGTGTTTTCTTTGGTGAGTTTGTTTGTTTGTAACTGCTAAAAGAGTAGAGAGGAATGAGAGGGGGTTGAACTGCAACATCACAGAACACCTTAAGATGTAAGATTAAGGATATCTAATAGGCCATCTTAATTTGTGTTGCAACAATCCCCGATATGGGAGTATTGAGAGGGGCGTCCTTTAAGTGGTGATTGGATCACAGGGGTTATCCCCTTATGAATCAATCTACTCATGGATTAAAGAACTAATGGGTTAATGGCTAAACGGGTTATCATGGGAGAGGAACTAGTGGCCTTATAAGAAGAAGAGAGATCTGAGCTAACACGCTAGCATCCTCGGCCCCTTGCTATGTGGTGCTCTGAACCACCTTAGGGCTCTTCTGATTTCCCGTCAGGAAGAAGGCCCTCACCAGCTGCAGACCCCCATCCTTGGACTTCTCAGCCTTCGTAACTCTAAGAAATAAGCTTTTTAAAAATAAGTCACCTAGTTTCAGGTATTCTGTTATAAGCAACAGAAAAATGGACTAAGACAGTATGTCTTAAGTAAATCTCACAATTGCCTGTACGGTAGATATAAATAAATATTATTACTCCTATTTTACAGAAGACAGAATCAGAGAGGCTCAGCAAGTGCCAGAACTCAAATTCAAGTGCAACTCTGCCTGATGGAAACTCAGGTGATTTCCACTCTGCCTCCACCTGCATTCCTCAGCACCATGCAGTTGGTCCCCAGACTCTATGCTCCATGCTGCTTGTGTTTGTTGGTTGGCTGGTTTTGTGTTCATGTGTTCTGGCTTCTTCATTTTGGGTCTTTACATCTTTACATCTCTAGCAGTTCTTCCCATGTTGTGTAGCAGTTGTCTCTACATGACGGTCTGTCTTGTGAGGTTGAGCTCCCTGAAGGCAGCAAGCATGTAATTGGTAAATTCTCATCAGTTAGCCATGTCTGGAACATGGTAGGTATTCAATAAAGGTTTTTGCTCATTTAATCAACTGTTCATTAGCATTTACTGAACCCCTACTGTGTGTCCAACACTGTAGCAGGCACTGAGGATGGAGCGGTGGAGAAAAACAGGCAACACACTCTGCACTCCATCTAGTGTGCAGAAGACATGCAAATAGTCATATACACTAAAACACCTCCCTCAGCACACTGACACACTGCTATAACATGCAAATAGTCATATACACATGAAAACGTCACACAGCACACTGACACACTGCTATAACATGCAAATAGTCATACACATGAAAACACTTCACACAGCACACCGACACACGGCTATAACATGCAAATAGTCATACACATGAAAACACTTCACACAGCACACTGACACTGCTGTAACACGCAAATAGTCATATAAACGAAAACACTTCACACAGCATACGGACACACTGCTATAACACGGAAATAGTCACACACATGAAAACACTTCACACAGCACACTGACACACTGCTGTAACATGCAAATAGTCACATACACCAAAGTCCTTCACACAGCACACTGACACACTGCTATAACACGCAAATAGTCATATACACATGAAAACACTTCAGACAGCACACTGACACGCTGCTGTAACATGTAGATAGTCACAGACATGAAAACCCTTCACAACACACTGACACGCTGCTATAACATGCAAATAGTCATATACACGAAAACACTTCACACAGCACACTGACACACTGCTGTAACATGCAAATAGTCACATACACCAAAGTACTTCACACAGCACACTGACACATGGCTATAACACGCAAATAGTCATATACACGAAAACACTTCACACAGCACACTGACACACTGCTATAACACGCAAATAGTCACATAAACAAAACACACAGCACACTGACACATGGCTATAACACACAAATACTCATATACACATGAAAACACGTCACGCAGCACACTGACACACTGCTATAACATGCAAATAGTCATATACATGAAAACCCTTCACACAGCACACTGACACACTGCTGTAACATGCAAATAGTCACATACACCAAAGTCACACAGCACACTGACACACTGCTATAACATGCAAATAGTCATATACACATGAAAACACTTCGCACAGCACACTGACACACGGCTATGTCAGAAAGGCATGCAGTACTCTGTGAGTGTAGGATGGTGTTGAGAGTCAGGAAAGAGTTGTGAAGAAAAGGGTATGTGAGTGAGGGGTCAAGGCCGAGCATATAGGTGGAAAGTCCCAGCAGAGGGAGCCGTGCAAGCATCCCCTCAGGCAGCAGGGATGTGGCACGACTGGGGGACCGGTGGCCGTAGGGCAGAGGCAGAGCCGGGAGTGTGCGAGCTGAGCATGGAGAGGAAGCCACTGCACCCTAGAAAAAGGCACTCCTCCCACGAACAGGAGAGTCCACAGAGATTTCTGCAAAGAGAGAAGCCATGAGTGCTCGTTCAGTGCCTACAGTGTTTGGGGCAGCTGTGCATTTTCTTCACAAATTCATTCCTTAAGAATGAATTTAAGAAACACTGCTCCATGCATTATACGAGACAGAAAATCCCAGTTAATACTAACAGATCCTTAGCTCGGGATTGTCCGGAGCAGGCACGCTGTCAGCAGGGGCTGCTCTGGGGTCTGTGGTGTCAGGGGCTCCCCAGAAGCTGCAGCGCAGAAATGGGGGAGGCTGAGAGCGACTCAGGCCTCCTTGCAAATGAAGCTGAGGGGAGATACCTTTCCGATCATGCTGGTGATGAAACTCGCAGACACAAGTGACTAACCAATTGATAAGTATTGCTCACTACTCGCAGAAAATATAGATTTTTTTTCTTAAAAATCATAGACAAAACACAGTTAATTAATTTAATGGTTATACCTTTCCTGACATACTATGTAACCTTGGCTTATATGCCTGGCTTAGAGATGTTTTCCAAAGTTGTGGTGTAACAAAAACATTTAAATAATGAGTATTCCGGTGGTATTTTTGAAATGGCAGTTACCAGCAAATAAACATCTGTTTGGACGTGGTAACAGGGAAACTACTCTGCATCCATTCACCCCTCTCAACAGTTGATTCTCCTGCAGCACAGAAGGCTTGCTTTATTTATGAAGCAAACGTCTTCTTCACTCCCAGGACTTCACCATTGGTAGGCCACCCTAGCCTGCCTCTAATCATCACTTCATCGTCTTTCACAACCTGCATTTTCCCTGCCCCTGATTTCTCATTCTGTTATTGACCTCTTGCACATTCCCCCTCTGGTGTGAATTACTTTTGCTGACTAAACTCAGGCATGGTCCCAAAACTATAATTTGAGCTCACCCCCATGGTGGCACCTCAGGCTGATTGCATGACCTAATCTCGGCAGAATCCTCCCAGCTCAGGGACCGCACTCTCAGACGGCAAGGCCAGTGATCTCTCAAATTCATCCCACGCAAGTGAAGACAGCTCTTCCCTCAGAAGACGCAGGCTGCAGCTAGCTTGAGGAGAGATCAACTCTTCCCATGCAAAGGCACGAATATACTGTGGCTAAAGTTTATTGGAATTTCCCTCTGATTAAGTATGTTTATAATTCCATCTGCAAAAACCAGCAGTAAGCTGAAATGGAAAGCATTACCTGAGATTATATTTCCATTTTGCCCCATTAAAAAAGACTAGAATTTAATTTCCAAGGATGTCTTAGCACAGATGCTTAAATCGAATGCGTACTTCCTTAGGAATGAAGAAATAGCAATGCATGTAAGGATAAGTAAGTCAGAATGAGAGAAAAAAATAGTTTTTTAAAAAAGTACAGGTGACTAAACCAGCATAGGGCTAAGTAGGTTTAAAGGATGAAGACATTAATAAAGAGCTTCCTGCAGGGTTATCAACAGAAATACTTTTTCATAGAAATTAGTGGGATTTAAACACTGCATGTTCTCAGTTATAGGTGGGAGCTCCAAGCTATGCATTGAGCACACATGGACGTACACATGGGAACAACAGGCGCTGTGGACTGCGGGGGCCAAAGAAGGGAGGGGCATGCATTGAAAAACTACCCAGGGGTACAATACTCACTAGCTGGGTGTAATACACCCATGTAACACACCTGCATGTGAACCCCCATATCTAAAATAAGAGCTGAGACTTTCAAAGAGGAGCAGTTACTTTGACTGACTTTTATTAGTAGTTGTAACTCTTTTCTTTTCCTGGAAACCTGAGTCCTAAATTGGAAGGTAGTAGCCACAGGGTACCTTAGTTCAGATAGTTTTTGAAGATAAGCAATTAAAATAGATCAGGGAATGGCTCCTTTTCAAACCTGTGAGCTAAGAATCCAGAAAGCAGGTTGTTCCAAGATGATGCTGTGAAAGAAAAAATTGGCCTTTCACTGGGGACAGGGTTCTTTCCAACCTTATGTCTGGCTCTTGTACTTTCTCTTTCATCTCCTTTGTGACCCCATGGACTCTCAAATTGAAATGAAGTAAATTTATTCACATTAAGGCATTAAACTACTAATGGCTTCATGTGTTCTCTCTTCCACTGGTGTTTATATTTGATAGAAAATAATGCCCTAAAAAATGAATGGTTTAGGGAAGCTAATGGAAGAGATGAAGGCTGGAAGGGGCAGGTTCTCAATCACATGACGTTCAACGTGCTCAGCTACATAATCAGCTCAGAAAGGAGCCTGAACATTGATTCTCAAAGTGTGGGCCATAGTCCCCTGGGACATCCTGAGACTTTTTCAGTGGCAACAGGAGGCCAAAATGACTTTTATAATAATACTAATATGTTATTCGCCATTTTTACCCTCATTCTCTCACAAATATATGTGGAATTTTCCAGAAGATTCATGATAGGTGACTTCATAACAGATTAAATGCAGAAACAGAATAGTACAGTTATCTTTTATTAAGCTACACATTAAGGAGATTTGCAAAAATGTAAAACAATTTCTCTCTTCTCAACACATTTATTTGGTTTTAAAATAAATGTGATTAATATACAATTAAAATAAATTACAAAATTAAATATAATTTTAGAACTAAATAAATTAAAATAAAAATTAAATTGGAATTTAATTTTTTTTTTTTGAGACAGAGTCTTGCTCTGTCTCCCAGGCTGGAGTGCAATGGCACGATCTTGGCTCACTGCAACCTCTGCCTCCCAGGTTCAAGCAATTCTCCTGCCTCAGCCTCCCGAGTAGCTGGGACTACAGGCATATGCCACCACACCCAGCTAATTTTTTTGGATTTTTAGTAGAGATGGGGTATCACAATGTTGGTCGGGCTGGTCACGAACTCCTGAACTCAAATGATTCGCCCACCTCGGCCTCTCAAAGTGCTGGGATTACAGGCATGAGCCACTGCGCCAGGCGGAATTTAATTTTTTTTAATTTTCATTAAAATGTTATTTATTTGAAAGGTTGGTAATTATTTAAAATTAACTAATAAATATTTTAAATATTTGTCCATTTCAAATCTTAATATGATAAATATGGTTTTATATACATATTTATATAAACAAATCATAAATTTATTTATATATTTATATTTTTTACTATATATTTTATAAATATTTATTTTTATCCCATAAAAGTGAAAGCTTTTCAGGGGGCGCAACACATTTTAGATTATAAAGAAGTTCTGAGAACAAAAAGCTTGAGAACCACTAAACTGTTCTTATTCTGATCCTGACTGTTTTCTGTGGTTTACCTGTTTTAAGACTTCTTGGTGATCTTTGATTGACATATTCATCAAATCTGCATCCCACATATTTAATAAAGACAGGAAGAGAGAGAGGGAGGCAAAAAAAGAGGAAGGAAGAAAGGAAAGGAAAGGGAAGAATAGATGAAGGGAATAAAGGAAACCTAATAAACTATCCACAGGGAATGCACTGTAGGGGCCACGGGGATGTGTATTCAATGCACACCAGGTTCACGGCCAATACCCAGCTGTGCTCATGACTGAAATGCTTCCAGCAGATGTGCTACGCCCTGGATATCTTCCACATAAGCCTGACCTGTGTTCGTTTCCTGAACACATTGTAGACAGATTTACTCTTAAGACGTTTTGTTTGACCTACCCTTTGTTTTATGACAAAAAATGTAATTGCTGGTAGTTAAATGTAGAAAGTTTTATGTGAAAGTCTGTATCTCCATTTTATCTTGAATTTGAAAATAACTGGTAAGACAGTCACCAAGGACCTGTGACAAACAGTGGGCTGGAGCTGCAGAGCTGCTGTCCCTTGCAGCAGGGCACCAAGCACAAACGTCCCAGAGTCACCTCTGACCTGCCCCAATCTTCCCTGTTATCTACCCCGGCAGGACTCTGAGAGGAGGCTAATCATCTCAAGATCATCTTTAAATCTCTTCGGGCACATGAGAACAATGTTCTGTGCCAACAAAATATAAATTAAAAGGCAAAAAGTCACCTGATCACACCACACAGTGGCAGCCCTCTACATTTTGGTCTGTTTTTAGCAAGCATTTTTTCTCATGTTTAGTATTACGTACTTAGGATCATATATGATACACGATTACACAAAAATGAGGATGTTTTTGTATATCCACGAAGTCACTGTATTTTCCATATTAGAATAAGTGTTTGACATGCCATTAAAAATGCTTTTAAACATAGTGTTCAGTACTGCATAATTCCCCACTGTGTGCATGCACCATAGCTCACTCCGTGAATTTTATCTGTCAACATTTAGGTTCATTTTTTCTTACTCTAAATAATGATGATGAACATCTTTATAAAACAGCTAGTTATACTTAGGATAAATCCTAAAAGTGGGTGAAAGAATATACATACTTTTAAAGTATTTACTATGTGTATCTTCTTTCCCTTGGATGGAAATATAAGCAGTTTTTTATTTCACTTTTTGTAAAATTTTCAATTAAAAGTTTATTTTTTCAAAATTTATGTTCTGTATTAGCAAATAGAAACAAGCAGCTAAAATTTGAATCCCTAAAGTACATTTTAAGTGTTACTTTAAATATATTAGGCTGTCTATGCTATGTGGCACAAAAATATAAAAACTGTGGACTTGGTCCAAATGTTTGGGTGATACCATTCTTTGTGGGCTGGTGTTCTCATTTTTTAACTCCTATGATGGTTTCAGAATTTTTTGGCACATCCATTATTGGGACACTTTTGGACTATGATGTCAAGGTGACCATTCTAACAGGCTAGTTTTTTAACTGCAGTCAGTGGCCACATGAGAGGCTTTGTAAAAGTCCTGGACGAAATTCTCACTTTAAAAATTGTATGTCTGACACTAAGTGGACATTCAAGTGTGCTGATAATGAGTGCGGGGAAGCTTTCACTAACTGAGAAGAAGGGCAGAAATTAGCATGAAATCATGGAGTAGGTGTGGGCAGCAAGAAGCCAAGCACAACCTGAAAGAAAAGGGAACATGATTAAGCAAATTCAATCCCAGGGCAGCTAAGAAAACCACAGACGATGTTGCCACCAAAATGGACATGTGACTGATGCAATATTTATATACACAAATATAAAGCAGAATTTGCATTCTATCATCTTCAGGTTAAGCATGGATCAACCCAAAAACAAGGATTCTATGCTACAGACTTAGGAGAAAACCTTACCATAAGAAAAACTACTTCAAAGTCATCTGGACTAACAATCTGATCCTCATGGCCAATGCATGCTGAACAGAACACAGGGCAGCAAAAAGTGACCCCAGAGAAGGAAGGAAGAGGGAACGGGAAAGGAGAGTTTGGTTATCATTGCTCTTGGAGAAATAAGATGCATGATGTTTTATTAATAGGCACAATTCCTTTATGTAAGTAACCTGATAAAAGGTAGTAGGTTGATTTCATGCTCTGCTGAAGAGAAGTGGGATGGCTTTCTACCCGGAAGCCACTAGGGCTCTTTTAGGCACTGCATGGAGCATATTTGCTTTTTTCCTTTATATAAATTGCAAATAGCATCTTAGTCATATAAAAGAGTTGGTCCAGCTCCCTGCAAAAATGCTCTGTTATGTCCAGTGTGCATTTCATATATTTCACATGCTCCAGGGGCTGTCAGCTCATGCAGTCATATCCAACATTGACATTGACTATGGCAGTCACAATGACAGCAGTTTTGTTCTTTCATGCCATTTGGTACTCCACAATGCACTACTTAACCCAAGACAATTTTCAGGTTTCACTGATATCTTTGAATCCCCTTAGAAAGAGGAAACCTCCCTAAAAAGATCTTAGGACATACAACCAAGTATGAATTCTACTTAGAAAATCTTATGATATGTGACTAAGGTACATAAAATTCTCATATTTTAGCCAGTTTTATTCATCACAAAGTTTTGGAGATATAGATTCCATTGTGTTCTGATTCACAACTGCTATTTAGTCATTCAATTAATAAATCTGTACTGAATGCCTAGTTGTGCCAAGTGCTTCTAGGCCCTGGTCATAAAGCAGTAAAGAAGACAAACAGGACTTTCTGTTCTCATGAAGAAAACTAAACAGGGCAGACAGAGTGCCAGCCTGCCATGCAAGCATGGTGATCAGGGAAGGGCTTGCCAGAAGGTCCATGAGCAAGACCTGTAAAAGTGAGAGAGCCACCCACAAAGATGTTGGAGAAAGGATGTTGCAGACAGAGGCCTAGAGGAAGGAGCATAACCTAACATGTTTGAAGAGCAGCAAGCAGTCAAGAGAGGGTGAGCAAAGGAAGCACATGTGAGGTGGAGGAGGAAGGGGCTGGGGGCCACCAGATGGAGGGTTTTTGGTTTTTACTGATTGTGGTGAGAAGCCATTGGACATGTTTACAAAGGACTGATATTACCAGACCTGTCTTTTAACAGGATCCCTATGTAATGAATAGAAGACTAAGAAGAGCCAATGGAAGAGGGAGAACAGTTAAGAGACTGTTGCCATAATCCAAGTGCAAGGTGGAGGTGACTTGGACCAGGAGTAGCAAGATGAGTGGTGAAGAAGGGTCAGGTTATGGATCTATTTGGAAGATAGAATCACAGACGTTCTGACAGATTAAATTAAGCATAGTGGAGAAAGAAGGGAGTGTAAGGATTATCTCCTAGGTACGTGGGTATACCCATTTGGAGTTCAAGGGTAAGGTCTGGACTAAACCTTTGAATCTGGGAGTCGTCAGTGTATGGATGGTGCTTAAAGCTATGAGACTGTTTGAAATCCCTAAGGGAGTACATGCGGGTAGAGAAGATGTCAGAGGACTAGCCCCTAAGTTGTTGCAGTGTGTAAAGGACAGGATGAACAGCAGGAACCAGCAAAGCAGAGGGAGAAATGAGGCCAAAGATGAAGGAAGGAAGCCAAGAAGCCTGTGGGGTCATGGAGCCAAGTGAGAAAGTGTTTGAGGGTCAGGCAACAACCAGCTGTGTAAATGCTATTCATGGCTAAGTGAGAAGAGGGTTAAGAATCGATCATGGGCTGTAACAACATGGAAGATATTCACATTTTGAAATGAGCAGTTTCTGTGAAAGGACAGAGGAAACTGTCAGACCTAGTGGATCTAAGAGGAAGAATGAAGACAAAAATTGGAGATGGTAAATATGAAAACACTTTCAAAGAATTTCACTCTGAAGAAAGCAGAAATAGTGCAGTAGTTTGAAAGGAACATAAGATCAGGACAGGTAGTGCCAGATGGGAAAATTCAACTGTGCATGTTGATAGGAACACTCCAGTAGAGACAGAAAAGTCGACATTGTGGGAGGTAGAAGGAGAATTGCTGAAATTCGAGAGAGATATTGGGATTTAGTGCTCCAGTTTAACTTATGGGTAACAAAAAGGAAGACAGTGTTTGGACATAGAGCCAGGTGGGGGGTGATGAGGAAGTAGCAGTTTGCAGAAGCTCTCATCTTATTCTGGTTTTGGCTTAAATTTGTTTTTCTTTCAGTGACATATACCCCAAAGTCATTAACTGAGAGTGAGGATGGGAGAGAAAACATTAGAGGCTTAAGAGGAGAGAGAATCTGAAGGAGCCTCCCAGAAACATGAATGAGCGAGGGAAGGCATTGGAATGGCAGGTGTGCTAGGAGCCTACTAGCGGTTAGCGACAGGGCCAGCTGCATTGGTGGCTTAATGTGTGTGACTGTGGAGTCACACATAATTTTTGCAATTTGTAAGTTTATGTTATTTCTCGTGTGTCACTGTTGCCTGTTTTATGGTTTATAAGTCACAAATTATTTTTAAAATGAAAACACCTTAGATTTTAGTGCATTTAATGAGGCTTTTTTAAAATGTCTTCTGAATTAACAGCCCCACACTTTCATTTTGCCCTGGGCCCTGCAAATCAGGCAGCCAGCCCCGGTTAGTGATCACAAATGTAAGGGAAGAGCAATCAGCGTCACTGTGGGCTTCTCCAGCCACACTCAGCTCTGTGGAGAGCTGGATTTACAAGGGATAGAGTTGTGCCAGGTGGTTACCACGAGGAGAGAGAGGGACAGGTTTGTTGAGAATATATAAAAATGATGATCCTGAAAATCAACTGGGAGTAAATAGACCCCATCTGGCTCCAACTCAATAAAACATATACAATATACATCAGTGTATATTGTAAGTGTCACATCATCCCTCAGGGAAGGTGCATTCTCCAGGGATCTTTGCACAGGATCTAGCAGTGGCTGAGCTATCTCTCTAGTTCTTTGATAGAAGCACCTGAAATTTTACCTGCTGTTGCTGGTTACACGCAAACCTCCTGTTAGTGAATAGTTAATTACTCCCAGAGGATGCAATACCTGAGTAGCTCCCAAAGTTTTCTGTGGGAAAGTTATCTTGGAGGAGCCAGTGTATTGAACTTCTTCAGCTAACAAATTTCTTCACCATGTGCATGACTATCTCGTTACAAGTTCCCACAGGCATTCAACACATTTGCTTTCTTTATTATTTTGTTAACATCAGACCATTTCCTAACTCATTACAGCTTATCCTATTACATATTACCATATGTGATGATTACTTTTATGTGTCAACTTGACTGGGCTACAGGGTGCCCAGATATTAAGCCAAACATTATTCTTGGTATGTCTGTGAGGGCTGTGAGAGTTTCAGGAGGAGACTAACATTTAAATTTATAGAGTAAAGCCAATTGTCCTCCTAATGTAGGTGAATCTTATCCAACCAACTGAAGGCCTGAATAAAACAAAATGTCTGGCCCTCTTGTGGAACAAGGGAACTCCTTCTGCCCGGCTGCTTGAGCTGGAACATCACCAGTCTTTTCCTGGCTTCTGACTCAAATGGAAACATTAGATCTTCTGGGTCTTGAGCGCACTGGCTTTTGAACTGTAAATCACACCATCAGCCCTCCAGGTTCTCAGGCCTTCAGACAGGCTGGAACTATACCATCAGCTCTGCAAGGTCTCCAGGCTTCAGCTTGCCAACTAGAGATCACAGGACTTCTCAGCCTCTATAATTGTGGAAGCCAATTCCCTGCAATTAATCTCTCTACACACACACACACACACACACACACACACACACACACACACACACACTTCTGTTTCTTTGGAGGATCCTGATTGATATACTGTTATTCCTTAGTTTGCAGTTATTACTCTCATGTTTACAGTAACCACAATGTTCCTGTATTCCTCAGCCATCATACAACTGCAGGCTGCACTCCAAATTCTTGCAAGCTTAACTGGATATAACTTCACAATAAAACCCAGGTATAAGAATAAAAGGTGTCTTGCCCAAATCCCTCTGCAGAAACAGTTTAAACATCTGCTATGCTGATAGTTGCTCAACAAAAGTAATTATCATACTTTCATATTCAACAAACATAAAAAAAATTCTGTGAGAATTTTTACAATTATTAACTTTTTTAATTCTTAAAATATTCTAGTGAATAAACCATTATTATGCCCATTAAAACATGAAGAATAAAAAGGATAAATAACTTGCTTGAGTTCATACATTTAGTATAGAGAAGAGAACATAGGATTTGTAATTAAAATCTTGCTTTTCTACTGTTATAAGTTACGTAAACTCTCTAAGATTGAATCTTTCATCCATGAAGTGGGAATAATACTGGCTACTGCAGGTAGTCATGGTGAGAATTCATGCTATTCTATATGTTCAAAGCCCAACACAGTGCCTGTTTTTTAGAAGCTTAACACCTTTTGTTTGTTTCTATTTTCCTTTGTCTCTCTCTCCTAAGCTCTTTTTGTCTGCCTTGTGAAAGACACTAAATTACATGGATGTCTCTGAAATAAGAATTAATATATTTTTTCAAACTCTGATTTTTTCAAAGCTGATAATTTATTCCAGGTCTCTTGTTTTGCAGGCTTGGTATTTGTTTTCTAAATCCAAATTTGAACATCCTTAGAAGCATATTCTTTCTAGTTTTCCATAGAACCCACTCTTCCCTGCTATCCACATTTAGTCCGATTCATACATTCACGTTACCTTCCTGTCCCTACAAGGTTTGGAATTTCAGCCCCTGCAGTGCATCCTATGATTCCGTCACTTCAATGACTTCAGAACTTTTTGGTTTGGGCACAATGATATAATTTTATTTTAAAACTTTGGAGAATGACACAAACAAGAGTTATTATTTTTAACAGTTCAGGAATTCATATGTTCTCATGGTCAAATCAAACTTGTTTTCTTTGCTTCACCAACAAAAGTTGTCACATCCGCTACACCCAAAAGCCACAGCTCAGCAGTCATTCACAACCGTCAATATACTTATCAACTCTAAAACAATCAGGAGGCGGATTTTAAATTTACAACGAGGTACCTCATTTTCAAAGTATTATAAAATCTGTTCTCTAAGTCATGTGTGGTGTCTTTTTTTCTTTCTTTTCTCTGGAGTGCCTTCAAAATAAACATTGTAATTTGAGATGTGGACCATATAAAATGGACCAAATGATAAGATAATGGGCAAAAGCATTTCCAAAGTGAGACCAGCTGTCGACCTTGTCTTCGGAAGGGAGGTTCTGGCAAACTTCCATTGGCCCCCAGCCTAGTTTTGTTTCAAACTGATTAGCAAACTTTCTAGTCAATCAATCCTGTCCCAAATTAAGTTGCTGGTAAGAAAAAAGGAGCAGCCTGATTTGCATTACAAAGCTCTCAGGCATCTAAGAGTTGAGATGTGACTATCCTGAGGTTCCTTCATGCCGAGTAAAAGCAAAGGCTTCTCTTCTCTCCAAGTCAAGAGGAAGAGACAAGTAAGCCCAGAGCACTTTAAC
Organism: Homo sapiens; assembly: GCF_000001405.40. Taxonomy (NCBI): domain Eukaryota; kingdom Metazoa; phylum Chordata; class Mammalia; order Primates; family Hominidae; genus Homo; species Homo sapiens. Next base: position 56,638 of record NT_187508.1, read on the forward strand.
CTACTGAGGAATAGGTTAAAACTGAGCATTCAGATGTTTCTGTATTTGTGGGCATATGTAAGTGAATAGGTTTTACATAAGCTGCATTTCTATTTTCACAAATACCTTCACTAGCAAATTTTCACCTAGTTCGAATAGATTTCTGGTGTTCTGAGCACAACAGTCTTTACCTATTACCCTTCTAAAAGCTAAGGAGACACCACTTAAATTAAGGGTGACTGATAATTCTCTTTTATTACTACATCTGTATTCCTATTTATATACTTTTCATTAATGCTCTTGGAGTCAATTAAACATATTAGTTTAAGCTTTTATATTTTATAATGTTTCAAGAATTATGATGTGAGTTAGAACATATTCCAATCCACAGGACAACAATACTGAAATAAAATTCTCTCTTTCTCCAGTTTTCCGGAGACTTTATGAAAATTGAATTTTCTTTCAAGTTACTGCCTGAAAGTGTATTATTACCAGAGTAACAAGACAAAATTGTAGCCTTAGAGCATATAGCAAAATTTGTATTAAAGATGAGAGGTGACAATGTGCTGGCAGCCCTAGCAGCCCTGGCTGGCTCTTGGTGCCTCCTCGGCCTCGGCGCCCACTCTGGCCGCATTTGAGGAGCCCTTCAGCCTACTGCTGCACTGTGGGGGCCCCTCTCTGGGCTGGCTGAGGCCACAGCCAGCTCCCTCTGCTGTGGACAGGTGTGGAGGGAGAGGCGTCAGAGGGAACAGGGGCTGCTGTGCACGGGTGGGAACCGGGTCTGCTGTGGGCATTGCACCCGCACTCGGAGCGACTGGCCAGCACCGCTGGCCCCAGAGAGTGAGGGGCTTGGCACCTGGGCCAGCAGCTGCAGGGGGTGCACTGAGTCCTCCAGCAGTGCTGGCCCACTGGCGCTGTGCTCAAATTCTTGCCAGGCCTCAGCTGCCTCCCTGTGGGGCAAGGCTTGGCACTTGCAGCCTCCCATGCCTGAGCTTCCCCCCTGCCATGGGCTCCTACAAGGCCTGAGCCTCCCCGAGGAGCACTGCAACCTGCTCCACAGCTCCCAGTCCCATCAACCACCCAAGGGCTGAGGAGTGCAGGCGCATGGCGTGGGACTGGCAGGCAGATCCACCTGAGGCCAGGTGCGGGATCCACTAGGTGAAGCCAGCTGGGCTCCTGCGTCTAGTGGGGACTTGGAGAATCTTTGTGTCTACCTAAGGGATTGTGGATGCACCAATCAGCAACCTGTGTCTAGCTCAAGGTTTGTAAATGCACCAATCAGTGCTTTGTGTCTAGCTAACCTAGTGGGGACTTGGAGAACTTTTGCGTCTAGCTCAGGGATTGTAAATGCACCAATCAGCACCCTGTCAAAACGGACCAATCAGCTCTCTGTAAAACAGACAAATCAGCTCTCTGTAAAATGGACCAATCAGCAAGGTGTAGGTGGGGCCAGATAAGGGAATAAAAGCAGGCTGCCTGAGCCAGCAGTGGTAACCTGCTAGGGTCCCCTTCTGCACTGTGGAAGCTTTGTTGTTTTGCTCTTTGCAATAAATCTTGTTTCTGCTCACTCTTTGGGTCCACACTGCCTTTATGAGCTCTAACACTCACCGCGAAGGTCTACAGCTTCATTCCTGAGCCAGCCAGACCACGAACCCACCAGGAAGAATGAACAACTCCAGACAAGAGGAAGGAGCAAACTCTGGACACACCGCCTTTAAGAACTGTAATGCTCACTGCGAGGGTCCATGGCTTCATTCTTGAAGTCAGTGAGACCAAGAACTCACCAATTCCCGACACAAAGAGAGGCCTAAGAAACCATCTAGGCCAATGCTGTGGTTTTGGAGTTCAGGACATTGTGGCTTAGAGACAATAATGGATCTGCCTAAAATCACAACACAAACTAGTACCAGTTCTTGAATGAAAATGTAGGTCTTCTGATTCCTAGCCAAATGCTTTTTATAAGAATGAAAATTTTGTGTCCTTGGAAGGCCTAAGGCATTTTCCCAGAGTAACTTAGAAGAGTCTGGCTCCATGAATAGTTTAGTAATATAGAAATAAGATTTTTTAAAATGTCTAAACTTGACTGTATGATCCTGGATATAAAGTATAAAATCAGAAGACAGATGTGATGTGAGGCTGGCAACGACTCGTGCCATGCTCTATGTACCCACACTAAAAGACAATATCCTTTCCACCTTACATACTTTATGGCAGTATAAGTAGCATGTTAAGTATGCAAATCCTACAATGCTGGCAACATTTCAAGACTAGCTGTGTCAGGGTGTTCATAAGCCTGGGAGCTCACTAAGCTACAGAGCTCTTAAAACGTAGAAGTAGAAGAGGTAGAAAAAAAAAAGGAATCACACTCCTTATTACTGTAAACCAAAGAAAAAATATTTACATTTTCAGCATTCTGTTGGGTAGGAAAAAAGCTTTTCCTATCCCATCTTACATTTTGTGCTGGAGCCTGTGAATTAAATTGAAAAAACAACAGCAACAAAAATTAACAAGAGGCAAAAGCATACACATGTAATTGATGTCTTAATGTTACATGCATGGTGGCTACACATAAGATAAGTGAAAAACTCAAAACACTGGTTAGACTTAGGGGTTTATATACGATGTTTGTAATTCTGGAATAGATCCTACTGACCCTGAAGCCGGCCCAATACTCCTATAGCGTGTTCTTTCGTATAAACATAGACATTGACTCTTCCGCTCTTAAAGCTTGAAACTTGTATTTGTTTCATCTGTGTTCTTTCCTCAGGAAAGGACCTTCAGGCCTCTCAAAAAAAAAAAAAAAAAAAAAAGCATTAAAGAACTGAAACTCACCAGATGAGGCCACCAGATGACTCCTTGTTCCTCCCTAGTTCGTGTTTCCTACACATTGTTACATTTCTTGCCTGTTGTATAAAACCCCATTTTTAGTCAGTCAGGGCGATGGATTTGAGGCTGAGCTCCCATCTCCTCAGCTGCAGCACCGGATGAAAGCTTCTTCCCCGGAAACACTCACCATCTCAGTGATTGGCTTTCTGTGCAGTGAGCAGCAAGCAGGACCTAGACCAAACCCATGGCGTTTTGGTAACAACCTCACCAAAATAGATGGGCACACACACAAGCCTTTAAAGATACAAAGTTAAACGGATAGTATGGATCATTCAGTATAGAGGAAACAGCATAGAAAATGTATAGAGATGGAAAATTACTAGATATGTTCCAGGAACAACATGCAAATTCCACTGCCAGTTTTGGCTGTGAGGTCAAACAGATCTGATCTGAATGTTTGCATTCCTCCAAAATTCATACATTGAAACCTAATTCCCAATGCAATAACATTAAGAGGTGGGGTCTCTAGGAGGTGACTAGGTCATAAGGGTGGACCCTTCATGAATGGGTTTAGTACCCTTATAAAAAGGTCTGAGAGAGCTTGCTTCTTTCTTCTGCCATATGAGGACATAGAGAAAACTCCATCTATGATGAATGGGCCCTCAGCAGGCACCGAGTTTACTGCTACCATATGAGGACATACAGAAGACTCCATCTATGATGAATGGGCCCTCAGCAGCCACCGAGTCTACTGCTGCCTTGAGCTTCGACCTCTGGCCTCCAAAACTACTAGCAATACATGTCTGTTGTTTTATAAATTACCTAGTCTAAGGTACATTGCAGCAGAAATGGACTGAGAGAGACATCTTTCAGAGAATTACCTCTGTTTGTCTGTTTCTGTTTTGTAAAATTGGAAGAAGAATAGAACTTACAGTTCTGTGGTATAAGATTGTGTCCAGAATTGGTGGGTTCTCTTGGTCTCACTGACTTCAAGAATGAAGCTACAGACCTTCAAGGTGAGTGTTACAGTTCTTAAAGGTGGCATGTCTGGAGTTTGTTCCTTCTGATGTTCGGATGTGTTCAGAGTTTCTTCCTTCTGGTGGGTTTGCGGTCTCGCTGGCTCAGGAATGAAGCTGCAGACCTTCGCGGTGAGTGTTACAGCTCTTGGGGCAGTGTGTCTAGAGTTGTTCGTTCCTCCTGGTGGGCTCCTGGTATCGCTGGCTTCAGGAGTGAAGCTGCAGACCTTCACGGTGAGTGTTACAGCTCATAAAGGTAGTGTGGACCCAAAGAGTGAGCAGTAGCAAGCTTTATTGCAAAGAGCAAAAGAACAAAGCTTCCACAGTGTGGAAGGGGAACCCAGCGGATTGAAGCTGCTGGCTCAGGTAGCCTGCTTTTATTCTCTTATCTGGCCCCACCCACATCCTGCTGATTGGTCCATTTTACAGAGAGCCGTTTGGTCTGTTTCACAAAGAGCTGATTGGTCAGTTTTGACAGGGTGCTGATTGGTTCGTTTACAATCCCTGAGCTAGACACAAAAGTTCTCCACATCCCCACTAGATTAGCTAGGTACAGTGTCGATTGGTGTATTTACAAACCCTGAGCTAGACACAGAGTGCTGATTGGTGCATTTACAAACCTTGAGCTAGATACAGAGTGCCAATTGTTGCATTCACAATCCCTTAGCTAGACATAAAGGTTCTCCAAGTCCTCACCAGATTAACTAGATACAGAGTGCTGATTGGTGCATTCACAAACCCTGAGCTAGATGCAGGGTGCTGATTCGTGTATTTACAAACCTTGAGCTAGATACAGAGTGCTGATTGGTGTATTTACAATCACTTAGCTAGACATAAAGATTCTCCAAGTTCCCACCAGACTCAGGAGCACAGCTGGCTTCACCCAGTGGATCCTGCACCAGGGCCGCAGGTGGAGCTGCCCGCCAGTTCCGCACTATACGACCACACTCCTCAGCCCTTGGGCGGTGGATGGGACTAGGCACAGCCCTGGAGCAGGGAGCACCCCTTGTCGGGGAGGCTCGGGCGGCACAGGAGCCCATGGGGGGGTGGGGGGGTAGGCAGGCTGAGGCATGGTGGGCTGCAGGTCCCAAGCCCTGCCCTGCCGGAGGCAGCTAAGGCCCAGCAAGAAGTCGAGCACAGCAGCTGGTGGCCCAGGTGCTAAGCCCCTGACTGCCTGGGGCTTGTGGGCAGGCTGGCGGCTCTGAGTGCGGGGCCCGCGGAGCCCACGCCCACCTGGAACTCGCGCTGGCCCTTAAGCACCGTGAACAGCCCCAGTTCCCGCCTGCACCTCTCCCTCCACACCTCCCTGCAAGCTGAGGGAGCCGGCTCCGGCCTTGGCCAGCTCAGAAAGAGGCTCCCACAGTGCAGTGGCGGGCAGAAGGGCTCCTCAAGCGTGGCCAGAGTGGGCGCCAAGGCTGAGGAGGCACAGAGAGCGAGCCAGGGCTGCAAGGGCTGCCAGCACGCTGTCACCTCTCAAGATAAAATGAAATAAATGGATATGAAGTTCTCAGCACAGTGCCTAGAAAACAATAAGATCAGCAAATGTTAGCAACTATAATAATAATTATCATTAGTTGCTGCAGTAGAGAGTTTATGTAGAAAACTAGAAGGACGTAGGCTAGTAAATGGTCAGGTCCTATCAGAAAACCATCCATTATAATGTGTGATATCAAATCTACTGTATCTCAAGTATAAGTATAAGTTCAAAAAATGTTCAGAAGTCAAGCTGTTTCAGGAAAGGTCAATAACACCTATCATTGGCTCATCATCATGGTCCTTCAACCAGCTCTCTCCTCATTTGGAAATTTGCTATCTGTGAGAAGAGAAGGAGTCTCCTTAATGGGAAAACATGCTTTGGATTTCCGCTTGATGGGAGGCACTGAATACTAGTGAATTTTGCTTTGTGGCAATTCAATTGAAAGGTCAAAATATACTAGTTTGGATTCATTTCTAACTTGGCAGATAACTACCAAAATTGCAACTATCACTAAAGCACTTTGATGTACATATGCAACAAAGGCAGAAAACTGCTCTGAATGTCTCCTAAATCAAATATGTCTCTTGTGTATCTTACAAGTAAAAATGTCGTTTTAAGGGTTTCTTTAATGTGGAAAATTTTGCTAATAAACAAGAGATGCCCACTAGTTTGATTTGCAGTGACATCCACTTTCATTAGCTGTTATGGTTACTGATAATTCTTGGCAAGAGTGTTTAACTCATATGATGTAATATTCAGCTTTTTAGTAAAGTTATTCTTTATATGCCTTATCCCAAATCCCAGCATACACTCTTTTCAGAGGCCATGTTTTGTGTTTGTCTCCATGCCAAAAGTAGTCATAATGGACTTCAATGCACATAGATGAACGCTGGTTGAATAAATTGCACCTATAACCAAGATCAAACATGCTTCCTAGTCTACAGGGTATTTTGCACGTAATATTAGAAGAGAGACTGTGGAGTATCTGACACATTGATATAACCTCCAG
>NT_187509.1:0-40191 GCF_000001405.40 Homo sapiens
GCATAGTCAAGTTTGCAAACCACTGCTCTCGAGTTTTAATTGACATTAAGTAGAACTTTTAATGGATGCACCCCTAATTTCTGAATTATTAATGATTAATAGAATCTGCTTTTACTATACACTCACTAAAATACATAGCTGCTTGGGCTGAAATATACAGATGTGTTGCCTTGCTGAAAAGGGAAGGAAAATCAAAGCTCAGACTGAGTCATGTTTGAAGTTTAGCCATGAAATTTGATGGCTTTTAGCTGAATTAAATGGCAGGCAAAATGTGTGTCTGTTCTCCACCTCTCTCCTCTAACAGCGTTTCCCTGTCTTGAGCTAATCCTTATGCAGGGATGTCTTATCACTGCTCACTGAATATCTATAGAAAGACACGAGTTACAAAGTCAAGAGCTGCAGACTTCTCTAGGTTTCTCCTCGGAACAGTCAGTGACACAGAGCTGTGTCAGGCAGAGCCTGCTGCTGATTTAATTTGATCTTTCTAGGGAGGATTAAGAATATTGTCCTCAACCCAGTTAGAATGTTGCTGCTAAGTTTCAATGTGTCAGAGGCTTTTTCATTTTCCCAGAGCCAGTGCTGGCTGGCGTGGCGAGTGACAACATTGCAGCATTTGCAAAGTGACTACGTCGTAGCATTTGCATTATCTTCCTTGGTGTGCATATCTTTCAACCATGTCAGGGAAGCGGTTGGAAGGAAAAATCACAGAGCACATAAGAAGGACTTCTGGGCCTGCTCCGGAGGCTTGCAGAGGACATGCCCGAAGGGGTGCATGAAGCCTTCTGTCCCATACCTGTCCCTTGCCTCGATGGGATTCTGTACACCACAGGTTTCTGTCACCACTTTGCCTTGAAATTGGAGGCCTCAGTTATGAATTTTATAACAACATCCTCAAATAAGGCCTCACTTTGCAGTGGGTGCCTAACTTAAGGATGATTTTTAAATGACTGTGTCATGTTTGTAAAGACACTTTGTACTTATCGAAGTGCTTGCATATATACCATCTCATTTAATGCTTGCCAAGATTCTGTTAGGTATGCGAGGCAGGTACTGTTATCTTCACTTTATGAATGAGGAAAAGGCACACAGAAGCTAATAACAAGTGAAGTCAACACTGGGTCTGAAATTTGTAAACTCTGATATAAAAAAGAAATCATATCTCTGGAAAGAAAACTGTTGCAAACTATACACCTGCTTTCCAAAACATGTGTGGCTCTTCAGTAGCTATTTTGCTGCCTTCTACCTACTCCGGTGTGCTGTTGGCTATGTCCAGTGCTGAGGACTGGGGAGGAGGCTTTTCTTCCCGCTTTAGGATCATGGTGATGTCCTTGCTGAGGACTGGGGAGGAGGCTTTTCCTCCCACTTTAGGATCATGGTGATGTCCTTCCAGAATTTGAACTGTGCTTTGGTCCTGAGCATGTCCTGGGGTGCAACATTCATTGTTCTCATTTGTTAGAGAATACAAGATCAGAATTTAAATAGTCACTGTTTTCCAAGATGCAAAGTGATACGCTCTTGGTGTTTTAAAATCCTATCTGTTGATCTGATTGGCTGGTATTCCAGTCTTCCCTGTTTATTGCTCTGTGACTGGTGGGATTTGCCAATAGGTCCAAGTACTTTCTCTTTCCAGAAGCATACCATAATATTGGTGTAGGATTTGTGGCCGGAACTTACTGGGCATCACCCCAGTTACTGTCCTAATACCTCATATTGTGTCAGAAGCTGACAATAGGAGTTGAAAATGCCATAATATGAATCTGTTCTCATAGTGAAGATCGTAATGAGAACGGGAAAAGCTGCAGACCGAACCAGTTCTCATTATGTTCTGAAGCCACATTTCCTCCCCACAACATGAATTGTATGGTCCAGGCTCTTTAATCAAGAAATGTTCCATTTGAAAGCATTCCTCATCCCACAGAAAACACAAATTTCACTTTGGAGCACATATCTAGTAGGAGAATTTGTTTTCTCATTCAATTAACCAGATTGAAAATGTAAGAACACTATTATGGAAGCTTCAATGTCAATGTGTGTGTGTATGATGATTGTTGCTAATTAAAAATAAGCTGATTTAGGACATTTGAAGCAAAGAAGCACTCACATTCCCTTATCTCAGCATTTAAACAGTGCCTGGACTCTGTGCCCTCTGCCCACATTATCTGGCTGTGCGTGGCATAGCTTCTGGCTGCAATAGTGGGAAAGAATTTAGCAGATGTTCAAAAACAAATACATTGTTAGCTTATATTGTTATTGTTGTTAAGGCTGCTTCACGTATTTTAAATTTTTCTTTTCCTTCTGGGAGAGGAGTTACTACTATTAACAATTCTGCACATTGCTTGAGGCAATGATAAACCATATTACCCTATTTATTTTACTCTCATTGCTATTTGAGAAAATGGTGGGCCATATATGCTTGTAGATTAGCTGGTGTCTTTTTGAAGCTACTGGCAAGGCTATGTTTAAAGTTTCAATTCTAATAAAAATGTGTTTAAAGCAACCAATGGCACCGTACAGGGAATGGCAGAGGAAAGGTCATTCTGTGTGTCCTGCAGCCTCAGAAGTGGGATCTTCCCCACACTTTTCTGTGAAGACAATGCAATTCAGAGCAGAGACATCTTCAAAGCTGCTTTGCACATGATGGTAATGAAGGATTGCAATGTGAGATCACTGGGATTCCCAATACCACAAACACTGGTGTTATGAAAGGATGCTTAGTCCCAGCATGCCTAAGAAAACTAAATCTGATTCCTAGTCTTGGAAATCCCATCTCATGCATGATGCCATGTTTCCAAAACTGGAACATTTCTACTGACTTATTTCCATGACTTCCTTTGCTCCAGCCACTGAACACTCACTCCCGGTGTGTCCTTACTAAAATGTTAGTTAATGTGTTATCTGTTCATGATAGTGCAGCTGTCTGCATAACTTCTGTGTATTTGTTTATTTATTTAATTTATTTTTTTGAGATGGATTCTTGCTCTGTTGTCCAGGCTGAAGTGAATTGGCGCGATCTCGGCTCACTGCAACCTCCACCTCCTGGGTTCAAACGATTCTCATGTCAGCCTCCCGAGTAGCTGGGATTACAGGCACACACCACCATGCCCAGCTATTTTTTGTATTTTTAGTAGAGACAGGGTTTCACCGTGTTGGCCAGGCTGGTCTTGAGCTCCTGACCTCAAGTGATCTGCCTGCCTCTGCCTCCCAATGTGCTGGGATTACATGGGTGAGCTGCCACTCCTGGCCAACTTCTGTGTATTTATTGAGGGAGGTGATTTGGGTGGGGATGGTGGAAGGATTGGGGCATGTGAAAGAGAAGGAGTCCTGGTTTGTAAGTTAGATCATGTGAGGGATAGGGATAGGGAGTGGAGCACAGGGTGAATGAGACCACACACGTGTAAGAGGGAATGATGAGCAGGCAGGAAGAGAGGGTTGGTGTAGGAAAGGGTTGGTGCAGGAAAGGGGTGGTGTAGGAAAGGGTGGTATAGGAAAGGGGTGGTGTAGGAAAGGGTGGTGTAGGAAAGGGGTGGTGTAGGAAAGGGGTGGTGTAGGAAAGGGTGGTGTAGGGAAGGGTTGGTGTAGGGAAGGGGTGGTGTAGGAAAGGGGTGGTGTAGGAAAGGGATGTTGTAGGAAAGGGTGTTGCAGGAAAGTGTTGGTGTAGGCAAGGGTTGGTGTAGGAAAGGTGTGGTGTAGGGAAGGGGTGATATAGGAAAAGTTTGGTGTAGGAAAGGCTTGGTGTAGGAAAGGCTTGGTGTAGGAAAGATTTGGTGTAGGAAAGGGGTGTTGTAGGAAAGGGTTGATGTAGGAAAGATTTGGTGTACGAAGGGGTTGGTGTAGGAAAGGGGTTGTGTAGGAAAGTGTTGGTGTAGGAAAGGGGTGGTGTAGGGTGCTGACATTTGCATAAATTGCACTGGGGTAGGAGTGGATGATGATGGAAAGTTGGAAGAATGTGATATTTTGGTGGAAATAACAACTTAGAAACTGAGTCATCTTTTAGCTACAGAGAAGGGTATTCCCTTCACCATATAGTGAGCGGTTGCTGTATCCATGGCTCTTGACAAAGATGTTCACTTTGTGCCTTTTCCTGCATTATTGGCATCTGGAGTTCTAACAGCCAAGAGAGACAGAGGTCATAGTGGAATCAATATTTCTATTACAGATAAGAAAATCCCAGAAGGAGGGCCTACATAGATTAACCTGTACACAACCAAACTAAGATTTAAGAATTTTTCTGAAGATAATCCTGGGATTATGTCTCACATTTCATTTTAAGCTTCTTTCTTCATTTCCCTTTGCTTTATATTTCTCTCTCCTATTTTATTCCTCCTTGAAATAAAATGGGACAATAATGTGTTTTAAATGTAGAATCAAGGAATAACAAGAAATCATCATTTCAACTGCTATCATGTCCAGTGAAATTAAATGCTTGGATAATTACTTTGTTAATTACTAACAACTCCAAAATTCTGATTCTCAATCCACAGTCTATTGAATCATATAAATGGCTTGCTTTTATTGAATGGAAAAAGACAAAGAAGAAAAAGAGTGTCCAGTAGAGAGGAGGAGAAAGCACTACAGGGAACACTAGGGTCCCCATGATAAGTTCACTTTATTCCACTCCATAGTTCCTGTTAATTAGGAGCTTCCAATCATTGCAGCAACATGGGTTCCTACACTTCAATCCAACCCCTCCTCTTCTACTATCCCTAACTTTGACTAGTATGAGATGAAGACTTGAGCTCAGCAACTTCCCATGGCTTTCGAATCTCAGGAGTTGTTCTTACTCTTTTTGATATAACAACCCTCAATTAATGTTTGGTATTCTTATGCAACCAGTGGGAAAACAAGTATGCATCTGGAAAGCTTAGAAAATATAGAGATAGTCATATACCTAGGCTTGTTTTTATTTTAATTGAGTAATTTGCAAAGGTATCTTCTATATTAATAAATGCACATTCAATTCAAACAGATTGATATTGAATTAATAGGAAGTAATAAATTGGTTTATTTATGCTAGTGGAATTAAAAAATCTTGCTACTCTATACATTCAATTTCTAGTCCCTACTTTGAAAAGAGCATTTTCTTCCTTTTGAAATATATTTGAGCATAGTAACTTTCAAGGTCCTAAGTTTATTGGCATAATTTAATGGAAAAATGTATGCTCTAAAGCATTCATTTTTTTCCCCAAGCTTTGTGGTTTTCAATTTCTCATCTACTGGATGGCTTTTAGTTTACATGGCAGAACAGAATCTTCTCAACTTTTTGATTCCCCTGATAAAATATTCAATAGAGAATTAAGCCAAAATTTGCTTCACCCAAGGACATGATCTCATCCTTATTCTTGTCTTCATGCCTATTGAAATACAGCTATTCTTATATGTATTTAGCTAAGTGATAGGCTTAAGCATCAGTTATCTTTTTTGGCTAATTTGTTTCAAAAGTAATTGAGCCCATGTACACATGAAATAATATGTAAAACAGTAAAGATCCCTGTACACAACAGTATTGAAGCCACTGTAATATTTCAAGACTAAATTAGACACTCTCTTCCTAGCCCCCTTTCACTCCTCCACCCTCCACCACATAGGACACTTTCTGGAAAAGAAGTCCAGGCAAAGAGACGTTAGTTTAATTGTTGCTAACGTCATATAAAAATGATCACCAACTTGGAATTTCTGAATTCACATGAAAGGGTGATACTGAGTTTAAACGTAAAGTTTCATATCCCATTGGTGTCAAAATTGGTGGATAGAAAGAGTACAGGATTGTAAAGCAATTTCAGAGCAAGCTTCTAATGGCAACTTTAGTCCACAGTTTGGATCCTGTGCCCACCTGACATCTATTCTTTTTTTGAGTTGGAGTCTTGCTCTCTCTCCCAGTCTTGAGTGCAGTGGCGAGATCTGGGCTCACTGCAAGCTCCGCCTCCTGGGTTCACGCCATTCTCCTGCCTCAGCCTCCCTAGTAGCTGGGACTACAGGCGCCCACCACCAAGCCAGCTAATTTTTTGTATTTTTAGTAGAGACGGGGTTTCACGGTGTTAGCCAGGATGGTCTCGATCTCATGACCTCGTGATCCACCTGCCTCGGCCTCTGAAATCTATTCTTAGCTGTAGGTGGGGACCAGGACCAGAATCTTCAGAGCAGGCCCTAGAAAGCTGGGAAGTCAGGGGATTCCACTACAGGTTTCTCTATTCTGTCGGCATTTTAAGTGGTTCTGTTTAGATCTAGGCACATTAGAGCTACCCCTCAAACAGACGACGACTCTTAAGAGCCCCGGAATTTCTTTATTACCCAGGGAGTCACTGGGGACTGGCAGTAGGTGCCAGGTTTGGCGATGGCGTTTTGTGAATCACTGAGCTCATCTCAGGGCAGAGCAGCTTCCTAATGTGACTGTCATCTCCTCTTCCTTTCCCTCCAACACCAGCCACACTTCACCACACTGGCCAGGTGTTTACCAACCTACCCCTTCGTACAAAGTTCAACCTGACATTGTTTGGTAGTCAATGATATAAAGCTTGTTGTCTAAGTCAGCATCTGCAGTTTTACCGACTGATAGAAAGGTACAAGATAGAATATGATTCGGGACAGGAGTCATCAACGTGTTGCCTTTCTGTTGCATGGAATGAACGTTTTGAAGTTGGAAGTGTCCTGAAATTTCAGGACTTCGTCTTAAAGATGAAAAAAAGATGAGGTGTCATGCACAGCTATTTTGTGGCAGCATTTGAATTCAACCCCAAGTCAAGTTATGATATCTCCTGTGTCAGAGGAAAGTACTTTTGATAATCCTAGAAATATCAAGACTCCAGTGGCAGTGAATATTTGATTTCCACTTTGAAATGTAGATCACATTAGCAGGATATTCCCTAAAGGAGCTTTATACACAGTTGGTCCTCCCTCTGTCAACCTCATCTCCGACTCAAGTGGATCGAGTTCAAAACAGCCACACTTGTTCCAGAAGCCAATTTTGTTTGGGCCATAATATAGAGATGGTCCCATCCAGCCTTTAAGCATGCTAAGCACAGGTAGCTGTTTGTTACAATAGTTGAAAGGAGAAAGCCATAAAAACAAAGTCTCCCACTATTTCATCCAATTTAAAATTGCGGAAGGTGACAGAAAATATAACTGAAAGCTTTCCCTAACCTCTCTTTAAAGAAGTCCTAGAAAAAAAAAAGAAAGCATTTATTTCCTTGATGATTTCTAAGTAATAACTAAATATGGATGCAATTTTGAACCGTGTATGGATGTTCCCAGTATAATGTTCCTCTTTTGGAGACATCGCATCATATTTATTTATCTCACTCCCTGTCCTTTCCCCCATTAAAGTGGACCTGTGCATAGTTGATGCTTGTACCAAGATACACACCTTCTTCCTGTTTCCAGGACGGTACGATGGGAGGCAGGAGTGAGTGTCCGGAAAGAGGGAAGAAAAAAAAAAAACAAATCTCATCATTGTTTATTTGTCTACTGCTTTTGGCTCTGCTGAGATGTGAAGTCATTCTCATTTCATTGTGTTCGGAAGTATAGCCTGCGACTTGTTGAAAGCTTAGCGCTAGACCTGCCTCTCAGAGACTTGCTCCCTCTGGAAATGCCCAGCTGAGGATGCGCGTGGTGCGTGTTGAAGAACACTGCCTTAGAGGTGGACACTTGGGGACAGGTGCGCTGCGGCCGGACTCGTGGACAGTTGCGCTGCGGCTGGAGCTGGCCCCGCATTTCTTCACTTTCTGAATCGTAATGCCCTCAGTGAGTTGCAATTTCATATTGCTACATTTGTTTTTACTGGTGTTAAATTCCGGCAGTTAAATCTTTCAAGGGTTACTAAAAAATGCGAATATTTGTGTATTTACATGTCTAAGGAGAAGACCCTTTGGCAATCCAGGAGGAGACAAGGACTCAGGCTTTTTCTTCCAGTTAACTGTGGAGGACACGCCGTTGCTGCTGTGGCTGCTGAAGGAGGAGAAATCTCCTTGTTCTCCCGTCTTCCTGCTCTCCAGTCCCCTGTCTGGGCTTCCCATTTGCTGAACACAGCCAGATGCCAGCCGAGCTCAGGAAGCGTAGTTTGCAGGGGGTGTATCCAGAGACACAGCTCGGAGCAAGGGAAGCGAGAGGAAGAGATCCAACCTTAGGACAAAGGGCCAAGAACTTGGAGAGGACTTGGCCTAGGAGACAATCTAGGGCAAGCACGTTATCCAGGGTGACTGGGCAGGCAGAGAAACCCCAAGAGGCATAGAGCTCATGTCCGTCCAAAGTAGGAGAGTCTGGGCTCTGCTCTCGGAGTCGGAGCTGGGGGCCTTCAGGGTACTTCCTATGGAGACAGCCTAGTTTATCAGAAAAAAGGGAACTTTCTTTTTTACCATCTAGCCTTCACCTTGGCAGGGAGACAGGTGTTTTGAGTAGAAACACTTCAACTCGACATGTCAAACCAGTGCTTCAGCAGAGCTGTGCCTGGCCCGCCCACCTCTCCCCTACCCTCGGTTTTGGTCCAGAGTCTATTCTGAATGTCTGATGTCTCTCTTGGTTAGTGTGATTGAAATACGGCAGAAAGCCGATTGCATCGTGTGGGGAAGTTGAAATCAATGCAACCAACAATTATATTAACGGTCTAGTTAAGAATAAAAAAGTAATAGAACAGACGTGCCTTGGTGAACATTTATTTTCTATGGAGAAATAAACATAGTTGCTGCTTTTGGACTCCACCCTGGGCAACAAGGTAATGAATGTGGAGTTAGGTGGTGACTAAAGAATTTGGATTCTTTCCTCCAGGTTACAATGCTCGTTAAGGGGCAGCCTGTAATGAAACCTGCGATATGTGCTAGAACCAACTAAATGATTATTTTAAAAGTCACAGTCTGCATGGGGCTTCATAAATTCACGCCAGGGAGAGCTGTCTAATGGGATTGCCACCTTCCACCCCCAACGCAGACTTCAAAGCTCCTTGCTAGGTCTCCACTCAAAGGCTTATCCCATGGCCCGAGCAAGGAAGGCCTTTGTGTGTGAAAACACCTGCCACCCAGCTTCAGGAGCACTGAGCGCTTTCGGCATGGCCGTCCCCACTGGCCCACATGGCATTTCTTACAGTGAGCTTGGTTTTTGACTGCATTGTTTTGCTTAACAAGCTGTTTTTTTTCTACAGATGTAACCTTTTCCTGTGTTTCCTGACTGGGACATCAGCCAGGTATTCTAGCCAACTTTGGTAGATATATATCATTGTTTTTGTGCCAGGCTTGTTTTAAAAAATCTACCTATTGCTTGCCCTGATCAATCCATCACTACCCTTGAAAAGGTCATGGTTCTCTCATCAGGAAACTTTTCAAAAATCCTTGGCTGTGATTTATCTTATGTTATGGGCTCTGACAGTGATTCTCAGGAAGTGAGGCCCATTAGTTTCTTGTAAGGTCACTCCCCTGCTGTTGCATGCAGAGTGAGTATCAGTTGTGCTTGCCTGAGTTTGAAGCATCCTCTTGGGTGATTTCAAGGGGGGCAAAGGCAGGGCCATGACTGGTTTCTGTGTGGAGACTCACACGGGTGAGACAGGTGATCCATGGTGGAGAGGGAGGGTGTCTCTTGTAGGTGCTAGAGCCTCAAAGATAGCTCTTATTTTCAATCCTGCTTCTCCAAGATTCAGTTCACAAAGATAAGCATGCCTGGAAATATTTAATATTTTATCTTATTATATTCATATTCTGTGGTTGTTTAAAAATTCTTCAGTATGTTATAAACAAATGTTTCTGATTGCCCATAAGCTTCGTAGGGACATTAATTATTACTGACATGAGAAATTAAAGGCAGCCTGGATATTATTTTTAGGAATTACAGCATTTGAAAATCATATTCAGTGAATTTCAGAGAAATTATATCTATACTATTTAACACCGAGTAATGTTTAGTGAAAGGGTCAGACACTTTGGGGTAAAAAGCGGCATTATGAAGTCAAATAATTTGTTTTCATGTTTAGGAAGACATTTTTAGGGATATAGTTTTGGTTATATGAATTCTTTGTGATAAGGGCAAAATCAGATATTATACAGGAAGCATTTATGATACCCATTCAATTGTAAGATCTCACTATTTTCCCATTCAATAATCTCAGCCACCTAAAATACGTCCAGTGTATATTTTCTGTTCTTTCTAGATATATCATCATTTCAAATGCTCATTTCAGCCATGATCATTTATTCCAGAAGCACTTGTTAGGACATTATACTTATTTCCTTTAAGTATAAGGTCCTGTGTTGACTACTGAGAATGAAAAACTGAACAAGACAGAAAGTCCCACCTTGAAGAGCTTCCAAGTGTAGCGAGTCTCCTGGCATCAGGTATGGCTGGTATCATGGAAACACTCGGCTGACTGTCCAGGAGATGCTGGTTAAGAGGTGGAAGGTGATGGCGTGAAATCAAGTTCAGGTTCAGGGGACACTCCTGAGAGCATTCCTGCCCTGTCCCTGTGGCCTGAGCGGCCTTCTCAGTTGCACAGGTAGGTTTTCTCTGCTCTGCACTCCCTCTGTCCCAAGGTACCCTTTAGCAAAGTGTAAATTTGTAAGAGTGGTTAGCCCTGGACTTTATCTCAAGTCTGTAATAAGGGCACCTACACTAAGACTGAAACTGGAACATGCTATTGGTGATCAAACCATCAGTGTTAATAAGTCACTTAAGTTACATTTATGGACTGGAGAAAGAAATGGAAGAAAATCAGAGTACAAATAATAAATGGTTACCAGGTCCCTAGATCTGAAAGGGCGAATACATTCATGCAGTAGGTGTCCAGGATACTCATGTGGTCCTCCTTCATGCTTAGGAACACAGACGCTCATCTTCACTATGCAAACCAGAGCCTGCGTGCCTTTCGTGGTCCTTCATATTTGCAGTGTGTTGGTTGGAGTTGCTTTCTTAGCCATGACAGTGACTGAAGGGAATATCAGAGTCTGTTAATGAATGATGCTTAGAGATTTCATTTTCAAAATATATTTTTAAATTACCTAATTATATGATATTGTATTGGAAAGTTCTTAGATTAGGTTTCACTTTAGAAATGTGATTTGGCCCTAAGAGTGATAGGAAAGAAATATGTTCCTAATTATTCTCAGATAATTAAAATTCATGCTGTTCTTTATGCTTGTTGAATTAAACATAAAGGGAAGACATCTTATTGTTTAATAATTAAAATAATTTGAATTAGATTTTAAATTGGCCTCAGGAACATCACCTTGGTTCATTTACTGATAATACATTCCAAAACTGATGATTCTAACTACTTACCTTTGAAGGAAAAAATTTGGCTTTTTTTCCTCATTTCTTCTCTCCCTCCTCCTTGAGAGTAATGTGGTGTGGTGGAAGAAAGATTTGCTGAGTGTTTGGAAGCTTACGTTTTAGCTTGGCCTCCAATATTTCCTCATAGTAAATCTCTAAAGCCCTTTGAATTCTTTGAATTCAATTTCCTCTGTGGCAAAATGGAGCTAGTAATGCAACCTCATGCAAACAACAGAGACTCAGATGAGAGAACTGATATGAA
Source organism: Homo sapiens (assembly GCF_000001405.40). Taxonomy (NCBI): domain Eukaryota; kingdom Metazoa; phylum Chordata; class Mammalia; order Primates; family Hominidae; genus Homo; species Homo sapiens. The sequence continues at coordinate 11,504 of NT_187509.1, forward strand.
GACATTAATACAGCTGCAAAACATTATATAAATGCAAGGTATTATAATTACTAGTTCTGGTTCAATACAAGGCACTCCATGCATGTGGAAAATAACTACCTATGGCCAAAAGGCGCATCATGAGTGTCTCCTCCTGCCACGGCTCCCCAGGTCTTCCGTCATCCCATTTCATTCCTAGAGGCAACCACTGTTCCTGGTGAGTGCTAAGGACCTTCTGGAAATAGCGACACAGCAAGAGATTTTGCTAAGTATGTTTAATAGACATAGGGCCCACTTCCCAGGAGAATACCTTTTAATTTTAGTAGGACACAGTTTTCTCAAGATTTGCTCAAGATTTAAGGAATCGTACTTGCTCAAGATTTAAGGAATACCACTTAGGAATTTTTTTGGTTAAAATAGAAAAGAGTAGGATCTCTATGCTGTTAGCTTGCTGAACCAGCCATTTCTCAGATGTGGGGTGAAATTCATGGAGTACCACCGAAGGGGTGGAAATAACACAAGGAGCATGAGGTATCAGCCACATACCTGCCTTCACTACCCAAAAGGTAGCATTTCTTTTCAAAGCTGTTTCTCCCCTTTCTCGTTTGTAGATCACTGGGTGACAGCTCTGACAGAAACGAATAGCAGGTGGGATGACATGCGTTCGTGGGATTTAGGTTATAGTTTGGCTGTAACATATTGCTGTGTCTCTTTTTCCAGACATGCCTTCATTTCGTAGGCTCAACACCTCTTTTCAACGTAATGATTAGATTCAAGGCCTGCATTTCAGTCAAGACGTAGTCACGAGTCACTGTGTTCTTATTGTCACAGCTGGGGCTTCAAGCCCACATCAGCTCTTCCAGAAGATCAAGGGAGTCAGGCCACCCAGGAGCAGAGGAGAGGATGTCCCTCAAGAATGAGACAGGAAATGCAGAGGAAATGGGACACCACCTGTCCTGGAAGACAAGGCCAGTCACGGTCTCGTAGCACTCATTCTAGGCAATCCACCCACCCATGAGGGGAAACGTGGGGAAGAAGAAAGCTTCCCTGCCTGAGACACGTATGGAAGCCAAGAGCTCCTGGGTCATGATACCTGCCCAATTAAGCAGAAACAGGTTTGGAGACAGAAACGATCATGACACGGACCTCCAGGAAGTGTCTCCTTGACGGACTGGGAAGTCATCTTTGTTGAAGGCATTCGGTCAGAGCGAAACGCATCCAGGCCCCTGAGAAATAGGGGAGGCAGAGCCAGAGGGAGGAGAGAGCAGAGGCCAGAGCACAGGCAGGATACAGCACTGTGCCACGGCCACGGGTGTAAGGGGTGGGGTTCCAAAAGGGTGGCTTGTCCAGAGAGGCCAGCGTTCCAGTGACAGGGATTGTTGCCATCTTCCATTCCCGGTTTCCTCTTGCTGACTGTATCGTGGAGTGGCTTCATTTCTCAGAGAAGAGCCGTGAAGAGATACAAGCGTCTTCTCTAGCGTGGATCCGCTGCTCTCCTGTGGGACAAAGAGTTCCTCTGGGGCTCTTGTCCTCCGCTGCAGTATGTTCATCTTGATCCTAGAAAAGAGGCTGCACAGGATGGGGATGAGATTTCACTTGCTCCGGGAGCGACGCGTCTTCTCACGTGGGCCAGGCTTTCACACACCCAAAGCGGATCCGCCGCGGCAAAAATGATTGACAGCCGGCTTCATGACCCAGGCAGAGAAGCAGAAAGAGGCTCGCCAAAGACAGGCCACCATGCGACAAACCACTTTGTGCCGCACAGGGCACATTCGGCCAAAGACACACATGCACACGGGCATACACACACAAATCCATAGAGAGAGGGAAAGAAACACACAGAGACTGAGAGATAGAGAGAGAAGAGAGAATGGGAGACACACAAACAGACACACACACACACGCAGAGTCATACAACAGAGGCATTGAAACACACACCCTCTGGCAACCCCTGAGGCTGCGGGATTCTGCTCTGGAGGAGAACGACCCTCGGGTGAGAGAGCAGCCGAGGGGCACGCAGGCCGACCCGTCCTCGAGATCACAGACAGCGGTAAGGCTTTTGGTGAGACTCACCCCAACCAACACCGTCCGTGCAGGCCTGAGGCTGGGATCCCGTGCTGCTTCCCCCGTCTCCGCCTGGGGTTTCATCATCATGGTCGGCCCTTTGCGACTGCTATCATCAGGAGAGGTTCCCTTCGACCCCGTGGAAAGGTGAGGCCGGAGCCTCAGAGCCTGGATGCCCAAGCAGTGCCAGGGAGGGCTCCTGCTCTGCCAAGCCTCGGGAACTGGTGTCTAAGACAACCGTGGGAACCACTGTGACGGGAGAAACCGCTCGCGCCTAGCGCATGCGCATTGGCTGAGCCGACTCACGCTCCACTCCTGACAGATAGGCTGCGTCCCCTTTAAATATCGCCACCGCTGCGTGGCGGCCGCGATGCTCCTGCTGCCGCCCCGGCAGCGCCTGTGTCCTGGGTCCTGTATCAGGCGGCGTGGGAGAGGGGGCGACGGGTGTCTGGTCCTGTCCCAGGCCCAAACCCCCAGGGCTCCTGTCCTCAGGACCTGCTTCAGCCGACTTCCACCAAGGGAGGGGGAGCTTCAGGATGCCTGCTGTGTTCTCTGGACTCCCGTTGAGATCCCATTCTGGCCCCTCCGAGTGACATAGGATGGGCTCACCACATGTGGTCAGGCCGGCAGGGCCTCGCTGCAGCACACAATGACCCCATAGGTCTCAAGGCCTAGTGTCAGAGCAAACTCATTCATCCATCAGCCCTCTGCCTCCCTCCTCCTTTGAAAGAGCAGTGGCCTGCCCCGCTTGTAAAAGCCGAGGGGTTCCGGAAAGCCGACCATGATTTACAGGACAACTGCAAAGAGGAAGAGAGGCGAAATCCAGGGGGAGACCATGTGACCACGCGTGGCACTGGCCAATCCCACAGCAGTTGGTGTTAACGTGTGACACCGGAGGCAAACGGGGCGACGGCGAAACGAAGGGTGGGGTCCATGCACGTGGCGGTGGAAGGGGGAAACGGGTGACCTTTCCGTCAATGCCAAGGAAAATCAAACAACACCTGGGACCCGGAGGGTGTGGGGGACGTCTGTGCCTGACCCAAGCCACGTTTTCAAATGCCTACCAGAGGAACAAAGATGTTTCTGCCAATTTCGCAACACCCCCAATCCTCCACCGACCTCGTAGCCCTGAAGCAACTTCGGCTGGCACAAACCCACAAAGAGTGGGAAAGAAACACACAGAGACTGACAGACAGAGGGAGAAGAGAGAATGGGAGACAAACACACAGACACACACACACACACGCAGAGTCATACAGCAGAGGCATTGAAACACACACCCCCAGGCAGCCCCTGAGGCTCCGGGGTTCTGCTCTGGAGGAGAACGACCATCGGGTGAGAGAGCAGCCCAGGGGCACGCAGCCCGACACGTCCTCGAGATCACGGACAGCGGCAAGGCTTTTGGCGAGACTCACCCCAACCAACACCGTCCGTGCAGGCCTGAGGCTGGGATCCCGTGCTGCTTCCCCCGTCTCCGCCTGGGGTTTCATCATCATGGTCGGCCCTTTGCGACTGCTGTCATCAGGAGAGGTTCCCTTCGACCCCGTGGAGAGGTGAGGCCCGAGTCTCAGAGCCTCGATACCCAAGCACTGCCACGGAGGGCTCCTGCTCTGCCAAGCCTCGGGGACTGGTGTCTAAGACAACCGTGGGAACCACTGTGACGGGAGAAACCGCTGGCGCCTAGTGCATGCGCATTGGCTAAGCCGACTCACGCTCCACTCCTGACAGATAGGCTGCGTCCCCTTTAAATATCGCCACCGCCGCGCGGCGGCCGCGATGCTCCTGCTGCCGCTCCGGCGTCGGCTGTGTCCTGGGTCCTGTTTGGGGCGGCGTGGGAGCGGGGGCCGCGGGTGTCTCGTCGTGTCACAGGCCCAAACCCCCAGGGCTCCTGTCCTCAGGACCTGCTTGAGCGGATTTCCAGCGAGGGAGGGGGAGCTTCAGGACGCCTGCTGTGTGCTCCGGACTCCGGTTGAGATCCCATTCTGGCCCCCTCCGAGTGACATAGGATGGGCTCACCACATCTGGTCAGGCCGGCAGGGCCTCGCTGCAGCACACAATGACCCCATAGGTCTCAAGGCCTAGTGTCAGAGCAAATTCACCGATCCATCAGCCCTCTGCCTCCCTCCTCATTTGAAAGAGCAGTGGCCTGCCCCGCTTGTAAAAGCCCAGGGGTTCCGGAAAGCCGAACGCGCTTTACAGGACAACTGCAAAGAGGAACAGAGGCGAAACTCAGGGGGAGACCATGTGACCACGCGTGGCACTGGCCAATCCCACAGCAGTTGGTGTTAATGTGTGTCACCGGAGGCATACGGGGCGACGGCGAAACGAAGGGTGGGGTCCAGGGATATGCCGGTGGAAGGGGGAAACGGGTGACATTTCCGTCAACGCCAAGGAAAAACAAACAACACCTGGGAACCGTGGGGTAGGGGGGCCTCCTGTGCCTGACCCAAGCCACGTTTTCAAATGCCTACCAGAGGAGCAAAGAGGTTTCTGCCAATTTCGCAACACCCCCAATCCTCCACCGACCTGGTAGCCCTGACGCAACTTCGGCTGGTACAAACCCACAGAGAGTGGGAAAGAAACACACAGAGAGTGAGAGACAGAGAGAGAAGAGAGAATGGGAGACACACACACAGACACACACGCACACACACGCAGAGTCATACAGCAGAGGCATTGAAACACACACCCCCAGGCAACCCCTGAGGATCCGGGGTTCTGCTCTGGAGGAGAACGACCCTCGGGTGAGAGAGCAGCCGAGGGGCACGCAGGCCGACCCGTCCTCGAGATCACGGACGGCGGCACGACTTTTGGTGAGACTCACCCCAACCAACACCGTCCGTGCAGGCCTGAGGCTGGGATCCCGTGCTGCTTCCCCCGTCTCCGCCTGGGGTTTCATCATCATGGTCGGCCCTTTGCGACTGCTGTCATCAGGAGAGGTTCCCTTCGACCTCGTGGAAAGGTGAGGCCGGAGCCTCAGAGCCTCGATACCCAAGCACTGCCACGGAGGGCTCCTGCTCTGCCAAGCCTCGGGGACTAGTGTCTAAGACACCCGTGGGAACCACTGTGAAGGGAGAAACCGCTGGCGCCTAGCGCATGCGCATTGGCTGAGCCGACTCACGCTCCACTCCTGACAGATAGGCTGCGTCCCCTTTAAATATCGCCACCGCCGCGCGGCGGCCGCGATGCTCCTGCTGCCGCCCCGGCAGCGCCTGTGTCTTGGGTCCTGTTACAGGCGGCGTGGGAGAGGGGGCCACGGGTGTCTGTTCCTGTCCCAGGCCCAAACCCCCAGGGCTCCTGTCCTCAGGACCTGCTTCAGCCGACTTCCACCAAGGGAGGGGGAGCTTCAGGACGCCTGCTGTGTTCTCTGGACTCCCGTTGAGATCCCATTCTGGCCCCCTCCGAGTGACATAGGATGGGCTCACCACACGTGATCAGGCCGGCAGGGCCTCGCTGCAGCACAAAATGATCCCATAGGTCTCAAGGCCTAGTGTCAGAGCAAATTCACTCATCCATCAGCCCTCTGCCTCCCTCCTCCTTTGAAAGAGCAGTGGCCTACCCCGCTTGTAAAAGCCCAGGGGTTCCGGAAAGCCGACTGTGCTTAACAGGACAACTGCAAAGAGGAAGAGAGGCGAAATCCAGGGGGAGACCATGTGACCACGCGTGGCACTGGCCAATCCCACAGCAGTTGGTGTTAACGTGTGACACCGGAGGCAAACGGGGCGACGGCGAAACGAAGGGTGGGGTCCATGCACGTGCCGGGGGAAGGGGGAAACGGCTGACCTTTCCGTCAATGCCAAGGAAAATCAAACAACACCTGGGACCCGGAGGGTGTGGGGGACGTCTGTGCCTGACCCAAGCCACGTTTTCAAATGCCTACCAGAGGAACAAAGATGTTTCTGCCAATTTTGCAACAACCCCAATCCTCCACCGACCTCGTAGCCCTGAAGCAACTTCGGCTGGCAAAAACCCACAAAGAGTGGGAAAGAAACACACAGAGACTGAGAGACAGAGGGAGAAGAGAGAATGGGAGACAAACACACAGACACACACACACACACGCAGAGTCATACAGCAGAGGCATTGAAACACACACACCCAGGCAACCCCTGAGGCTCCGGGGTTCTGCTCTGGAGGAGAACGACCCTCGGGTGAGAGAGCAGCCCAGGGGCACGCAGGCCGACCCGTCCTCGAGATCACGGACAGCGGCGCGACTTTTGGCGAGAGTCACGCCAACAAACACCGTCCGTGCAGGCCTGAGGCTGGGATCCCGTGCTGCTTCCCCGGTATCCACCTGGGGTTTCATCTTCATAGTCGGCCCTTTGCGACTGCTGGCATCAGGAGAGTTTCCCTTCGAGCCCGTGGAGAGGTGAGACCGGAGCCTCAGAGCCTCGATACCCAAGCACTGCCACGGAGGGCTCCTGCTCTGCAAAGCCTCGGGGACTGGTTTCTAAGACAACCGTGGGAACCACTGCGACCCGAGAAAACGCTGGGGCCTCGCGCATGCGCATTGGCTGAGCCGACTCATGCTCCACTCCTGACAGATAGGCTGCGACCCCTTTAAATATTGCCACCGCCGCGCGGCGGCCGCGATGCTCCTGCTGCCGCCGCGGCGGCGGCTGTGTCCTGGGTCCTGTTTGGGGCGGCATGGGAGAGGGGACCGCGGGTGTCTCGTCCTGTCCCAGGCCCAAACCCCCAGGGCTCCTGTCCTCAGGACCTGCTTGAGCCGACTTCCACCAAGGGAGGGGGAGCTTCAGGACGCCTGCTGTGTTCTCTGGACTCCCGTTGAGATCCCATTCTGGCCCCCTCCGAGTGACATAGGATGGGCTCACCACATCTGGTCAGTCCGGCAGGGCCTCGCTGCAGCACACAATGACCCCATAGGTCTCAAGGCCTAGTGTCAGAGCAAATTCACTCATCCATCAGCCCTCTGCCTCCCTCCTCCTTTGAAAGTGCAGTGGCCTGCCGCGCTTGTAAAAGCCCAGGGGTTCCGGAAAGCCGAACGCGCTTTACAGGACAACTGCAAAGAGGAACAGAGGCGACACCCAGGGGGAGACCATGTGACCACGCGTGGCACTGGCTAATCCCACAGCAGTTGGTGTTAATGTGTGTCACCGGAGGCATACGGGGCGACGGCGAAACGAAGGGTGGGGTCCATGCATATGCCGGTGGAAGGGGGAAACGGGTGACATTTCCGTCAGTGCCAAGGAAAATCAAACCACACCTGGGAACCGGGAGGTGGGGGTGCCGACTGTGCCTGACCCAAGCCACGTTTTCAAATGCCTACCAGAGGAGCAAAGAGGTTTCTGCCAATTTCGCAACACCCCCAATCCTCCACCGACCTGGTAGCCCTGACGCAACTTCGGCTGGTACAAACCCACAGAGAGTGGGAAAGAAACACACAGAGACTGACAGACAGAGAGAGAAGAGAGAATGGGAGACACACACACAGACACACACACACACACACACGCAGATTCATACAGCAGAGGCATTGAAACACACACCCCAGGCAGCCCCTGAGGCTCCGGGGTTCTGCTCTGGAGGAGAACGACCCTCGGGTGAGAGAGCAGCCCAGGGGCACGCAGCCCGACACGTCCTCGAGATCACGGACAGCGGAAAGGCTTTTGGCGAGACTCACCCCAACAAACACCGTCCGTGCAGGCCTGAGGCTGGGATCCCGTGCTGCTTCCCCCGTCTCCGCCTGGGGTTTCATCATCATGGTCGGCCCTTTGCGACTGCTGTCATTAGGAGAGGTTCCCTTCGACGCCGTGGAGAGGTGAGGCCGGAGTCTCAGAGCCTCGATACCCAAGCACTGCCACGGAGGGCTCCTGCTCTGCCAAGCCTCGGGGACTGGTGTCTAAGACAACAGTGGGAACCACTGTGACGGGAGAAACCGCTGGCGCCTCACGCATGTGCATTGGCTGAGGCGACTCACGCTCCACTCCTGACAGATAGGCTGCGTCCCCTTTAAATATCGCCACCGCCGCGCGGCGGCCGCGATGCTCCTGCTGCCGCCCCGGCGTCGGCTGTGTCCTGGGTCCTGTTTGGGGCGGCGTGGGAGCGGGGGCCGCGGGTGTCTCGTCGTGTCACAGGCCCAAACCCCCAGGGCTCCTGTCCTCAGGACCTGCTTGAGCCGATTTCCAGCGAGGGAGGGGGAGCTTCAGGACGCCTGCTGTGTGCTCCGGACTCCCGTTGAGATCCCATTCTGGCCCCCTCCGAGTGACATAGGATGGGCTCACCACATCTGGTCAGGCCGGCAGGGCCTCGCTGCAGCACACAATGACCCCATAGGTCTCAAGGCCTAGTGTCACAGGAAATTCACCGATCCATCAGCCCTCTGCCTCCCTCCTCCTTTGAAAGACTAGTGGCCTGCCCCGCTTGTAAAAGCCCAGGGGTTCCGGAAAGCCGAACGCGCATTACAGGACAACTGCAAAGACGAACAGAGGCGAAACCCAGGGGGAGACCATGTGACCACGCGTGGCACTGGCCAATCCCACAGCAGTTGGTGTTAATGTGTGTCACCGGAGGCATATGGGGCGACGGCGAAGCGAAGGGTGGGGTCCAGGCATATGCCGGTGGAAGGGGGAAACGGGTGACATTTCCGTCAATGCCAAGGAAAATCAAACAACACCTGAGAACCGTGGGGTAGGGGGCCTCCTGTGCCTGACCCAAGCCACGTTTTCAAATGCCTACCAGAGGAGCAAAGAGGTTTCTGCCAATTTCGCAACACCCCCAATCCTCCACCGACCTGGTAGCCCTGACGCAACTTCGGCTGGTACAAACCCACAGAGAGTGGGAAAGAAACACACAGAGAGTGAGAGACAGAGAGAGAAGAGAGAATGGGAGACACACACACAGACACACACGCACACACACGCAGAGTCATACAGCAGAGGCATTGAACCCTGAGAACCCTGAGGCAACCCCTGAGGATCCGGGGTTCTGCTCTGGAGGAGAACGACCCTCGGGTGAGAGAGCAGCCCAGGAGCACGCAGGCCGACCCGTCCTCGAGATCACGGACAGCGGTAAGGCTTTTGGCGAGACTCACCCCAACCAACACCGTCCGTGCAGGACTGAGGCTGGGATCCCGTGCTGCTTCCCCCGTCTCCGCCTGGGGTTTCATCATCATGGTCGGCCCTTTGCGACTGCTGTCATCAGGAGAGGTTCCCTTCGACCCCGTGGGGAGGTGAGACCGGAGCCTCAGAGCCTCGATACCCAAGCACTGCCACGGAGGGCTCCTGCTCTGCAAAGCCTCGGGGACTGGTTTCTCAGACAACCGTGGGAACCACTGTGACCGGAGAACCCGCTGGGGCCTCGCGCATGCGCATTGGCTGAGCCGACTCACGCTCCACTCCTGACAGATAGGCTGCGTCCCCTTTAAATATCGCCACCGCCGCGCGGCGGCCGCGATGCTCCTGCTGCCGCCCCGGCGTCGGCTGTGTCCTGGGTCCTGTTTGGGGCGGCATGGGAGAGGGGAACGCGGGTGTCTCGTCCTGTCCCAGGCCCAAACCCCCAGGGCTCCTGTCCTCAGGACCTGCTTGAGCCGACTTCCACCAAGGGAGGGGGAGCTTCAGGACGCCTGCTGTGTTCTCTGGACTCCCGTTGAGATCCCATTCTGGCCCCCTCCGAGTGACATAGGATGGGCTCACCACATGTGGTCAGGCCGGCAGGGCCTCGCTGCAGCACACAATGACCCCATAGTTCTCAAGGCCTAGTGTCAGAGCAAACTCACTCATCCATCAGCCCTCTGCCTCCCTCCTCCTTTGAAAGTGCAGTGGCCTGCCCCGCTTGTAAAAGCCCAGGGGTTCCGGAAAGCCGAACGCGCTTTACAGGACAACTGCAAGGAGGAACAGAGGCGAAACCCAGGGGGAGACCATGTGACCACGCGTGACACTGGCCAATCCCACAGCAGTTGGTGTTAATGTGTGTCACCGGAGGCATACGGGGCGACGGCGAAACGAAGGGTGGGGTCCAGGCATATGCGGGTGGAAGGGGGAAACGGGTGACATTTCCGTCAACGCCAAGGAAAAACAAACAACACCTGGGAACCGTGGGGTAGGGGGGCCTCCTGTGCCTGACCCAAGCCACGTTTTCAAATGCCTACCAGAGGAGCAAAGAGGTTTCTGCCAATTTCGCAACACCCCCAATCCTCCACCGACCTGGTAGCCCTGACGCAACTTCGGCTGGTACAAACCCACAGAGAGTGGGAAAGAAAAACACAGAGAGTGAGAGACAGAGAGAGAAGAGAGAATGGGAGACACACACACAGACACACACGCACACACACGCAGAGTCATACAGCAGAGGCATTGAAACACACACCCCCAGGCAACCCCTGAGGATCCGGGGTTCTGCTCTGGAGGAGAACGACCCTCGGGTGAGAGAGCAGCCGAGGGGCACGCAGGCCGACCCGTCCTCGAGATCACAGACGGCGGCACGACTTTTGGTGAGACTCACCCCAACCAACACCGTCCGTGCAGGCCTGAGGCTGGGATCCCGTGCTGCTTCCCCCGTCTCCGCCTGGGGTTTCATCATCATGGTCGGCCCTTTGCGACTGCTGTCATCAGGAGAGGTTCCCTTCGACCCCGTGGAAAGGTGAGGCCGGAGCCTCAGAGCCTGGATACCCAAGCACTGCCACGGAGGGCTCCTGCTCTGCAAAGCCTCGGGGACTAGTGTCTAAGACAACCGTGGGAACCACTGTGACGGGAGAAACCGCTGGCGCCTAGCGCATGCGCATTGGCTGAGCCGACTCACGCTCCACTCCTGACAGATAGGCTGCGTCCCCTTTAAATATCGCCACCGCCGCGCGGCGGCCGCGATGCTCCTGCTGCCGCCCCGGCAGCGCCTGCATCTTGGGTCCTGTTTCAGGCGGTGTGGGAGAGGGGGCCACGGGTGTCTGGTCCTGTCCCAGGCCCAAACCCCCAGGGCTCCTGTCCTCAGGACCTGCTTGAGCCGACTTCCACCAAGGGAGGGGGAGCTTCAGGACGCCTGCTGTGTTCTCTGGACTCCCGTTGAGATCCCATTCTGGCCCCCTCCGAGTGACATAGGATGGGCTCACCACACGTGGTCAGGCCGGCAGGGCCTCGCTGCAGCACAAAATGATCCCATAGGTCTCAAGGCCTAGTGTCAGAGCAAATTCACTCATCCATCAGCCCTCTGCCTCCCTCCTCCTTTGAAAGAGCAGTGGCCTACCCCGCTTGTAAAAGCCCAGGGGTTCCGGAAAGCCGACCGTGCTTAAAAGGACAACTGCAAAGAGGAAGAGAGGCGAAATCCAGGGGGAGACCATGTGACCACGCCTGGCACTGGCCAATCCCACAGCAGTTGGTGTTAACGTGTGACACCGGAGGCAAACGGGGCGACGGCGAAAAGAAGGGTGGGGTCCATGCACGTGCCGGTGGAAGGGGGAAACGGGTGGCCTTTCCGTCAATGCCAAGGAAAATCAAACAACACCTGGGACCCGGAGGGTGTGGGGGACGTCTGTGCCTGACCCAAGCCACGTTTTCAAATGCCTACCAGAGGAACAAAGATGTTTCTGCCAATTTCGCAACACCCCCAATCCTCCACCGACCTCGTAGCCCTGAAGCAACTTCGGCTGGCACAAACCCACAAAGAGTGGGAAAGAAACACACAGAGACCGAGAGACAGAGGGAGAAGAGAGAATGGGAGACAAACACACAGACACACACACACACACGCAGAGTCATACAGCAGAGGCATTGAAACAGACACCCCCAGGCAACCCCTGAGGCTCCGGGGTTCTGCTCTGGAGGAGAACGACCCTCGGGTGAGAGAGCAGCCCAGGGGCACGCAGGCCGACCCGTCCTCGAGATCACGGACAGCGGCGCGACTTTTGGCGAGACTCACCCCAACAAACACGGTCCGTGCAGGCCTGAGGCTGGGATCCCGTGCTGGTTCCCCGGTCTCCACCTGGGGTTTCATCTTCATAGTCGGCCCTTTGCGACTGCTGGCATCAGGAGAGTTTCCCTTCGAGCCCGTGGAGAGGTGAGACCGGAGCCTCAGAGCCTCGATACCCAAGCACTGCCACGGAGGGCTCCTGCTCTGCAAAGCCTCGGGGACTGGTTTCTAAGACAACCGTGGGAACCACTGTGACCCGAGAAACCGCTGGGGCCTCGCGCATGCGCATTGGCTGAGCCGACTCACGCTCCACTCCTGACAGATAGGCTGCGTCCCCTTTAAATATTGCCACCGCCACGCAGCGGCCGCGATGCTCCTGCTGCCGCCGCTAAGGCGGCTGTGTCCTGGGTCCTGTTTGGGGTGGCATGGGAGAGGGGACCGCGGGTGTCTCGTCCTGTCCCAGGCCCAAACCCCCAGGGCTCCTGTCCTCAGGACCTGCTTGAGCCGACTTCCACCAAGGGAGGGGGAGCTTCAGGACGCCTGCTGTGTTCTCTGGACTCCCGTTGAGATCCCATTCTGGCCCCCTCCGAGTGACATAGGAAGGGCTCACCACATGTGGTCAGGCCGGCAGGGCCTCGCTGCAGCACACAATGACCCCATAGGTCTCAAGGCCTAGTGTCAGAGCAAATTCACTCATCCATCAGCCCTCTGCCTCCCTCCTCCTTTGAAAGTGCAGTGGCCTGCCCCGCTTGTAAAAGCCCAGGGGTTCCGGAAAGCCGAACTCGCTTTACAGGACAACTGCAAAGAGGAACAGAGGCGAAACCCAGGGGGAGACCATGTGACCACGCGTGGCACTGGCTAATCCCACAGCAGTTGGTGTTAATGTGTGTCACCGGAGGCATACGGGGCGACGGCGAAACGAAGGGTGGGGTCCAGGCATGTGCCGGTGGAAGGGGGAAACGGGTGACATTTCTGTCAGTACCAAGGAAAATCAAACCACACCTGGGAACCGGGAGGTGGGGGTGCCGACTGTGCCTGACCCAAGCCACGTTTTCAAATGCCTACCAGAGGAGCAAAGAGGTTTCTGCCAATTTCGCAACACCCCCAATCCTCCACCGACCTGGTAGCCCTGACGCAACTTCGGCTGGCACAAACCCACAGAGAGTGGGAAAGAAACACACAGAGAGTGAGAGACAGAGAGAGAAGAGAGAATGGGAGACACACACACAGACACACACACACACACACACACGCAGATTCATACAGCAGAGGCATTGAAACACACACCCCAGGCAGCCCCTGAGGCTCCGGGGTTCTGCTCTGGAGGAGAACGACCCTCGGGTGAGAGAGCAGCCCAGGGGCACGCAGCCCGACACGTCCTCGAGATCACGGACAGCGGTAAGGCTTTTGGCGAGACTCACCCCAACAAACACCGTCCGTGCAGGCCTGAGGCTGGGATCCCGTGCTGCTTCCCCCGTCTCCGCCTGGGGTTTCATCATCATGGTCGACCCTTTGCGACTGCTGTCATCAGGAGAGGTTCCCTTCGACCCCGTGGAGAGGTGAGGCCGGAGTCTCAGAGCCTCGATACCCAAGCACTGCCACGGAGGGCTCCTGCTCTGCAAAGCCTCGGGGACTGGTTTCTCAGACAACCGTGGGAACCACTGTGACGGGAGAAACCGCTGGCGCCTCACGCATGCGCATTGGCTGAGGCGACTCACGCTCCACTCCTGACAGATAGGCTGCGTCCCCTTTAAATATCGCCACCGCCGCGCGGCGGTCGCGATGCTCCTGCTGCCGCCCCGGCGTCGGCTGTGTCCTGGGTCCTGTTTGGGGCGGCGTGGGAGCGGGGGCCGCGGGTGTCTCGTCGTGTCACAGGCCCAAAACCCCAGGGCTCCTGTCCTCAGGACCTGCTTGAGCAGATTTCCAGCGAGGGAGGGGGAGCTTCAGGACGCCTGCTGTGTGCTCCGGACTCCCGTTGAGATCCCATTCTGGCCCCCTCCGAGTGACATAGGATGGGCTCACCACATCTGGTCAGGCCGGCAGGGCCTCGCTGCAGCACACAATGACCCCACAGGTCTCAAGGCCTAGTGTCAGAGCAAATTCACCGATCCATCAGCCCTCTGCCTCCCTCCTCCTTTGAAAGACTAGTGGCCTGCCCCGCTTGTAAAAGCCCAGGGGTTCCGGAAAGCCAAACGCGCATTACAGGACAACTGCAAAGACGAACAGAGGCGAAACCCAGGGGGAGACCATGTGACCACGCGTGGCACGGGCCAATTCCACAGCAGTTGGTGTTAATGTGTGTCACCGGAGGCATACGGGGCGACGGCGAAGCGAAGGGTGGGGTCCAGGCATATGCCGGTGGAAGGGGGAAACGGGTGACATTTCCGTCAATGCCAAGGAAAATCAAACAACTCCTGGGAACCGTGGGGTAGGGGGGCCTCCTGTGCCTGACCCAAGCCACGTTTTCAAATGCCTACCAGAGGAGCAAAGAGGTTTCTGCCAATTTCGCAACACCCCCAATCCTCCACCGACCTGGTAGCCCTGACGCAACTTCGGCTGGTACAAACCCACAGAGAGTGGGAAAGAAACACACAGAGAGTGAGAGACAGAGAGAGAAGAGAGAATGGGAGACACACACACAGACACACACGCACACACACGCAGAGTCATACAGCAGAGGCATTGAACCCTGAGAACCCTGAGGCAACCCCTGAGGATCCGGGGTTCTGCTCTGGAGGAGAACGACCCTCGGGTGAGAGAGCAGCCCAGGAGCACGCAGGCCGACCCGTCCTCGAGATCACGGACAGCGGTAAGGCTTTTGGCGAGACTCACCCCAACCAACACCGTCCGTGCAGGACTGAGGCTGGGATCCCGTGCTGCTTCCCCCGTCTCCGCCTGGGGTTTCATCATCATGGTCGACCCTTTGCGACTGCTGTCATCAGGAGAGGTTCCCTTCGACCCCGTGGAGAGGTGAGGCCGGAGCCTCAGAGCCTCGATACCCAAGCACTGCCACGGAGGGCTCCTGCTCTGCAAAGCCTCGGGGACTGGTTTCTCAGACAACCGTGGGAACCACTGTGACCCGAGAAACCGCTGGGGCCTCGCGCATGCGCATTGGCTGAGCCAACTCACGCTCCACTCCTGACAGATAGGCTGCGTCCCCTTTAAATATCGCCACCGCCGCGCGGCGGCCGCGATGCTCCTGCTGCCGCCCCGGCGTCGGCTGTGTCCTGGGTCCTGTTTGGGGCGGCATGGGAGAGGGGACCGCGGGTGTCTCGTCCTGTCCCAGGCCCAAACCCCCAGGGCTCCTGTCCTCAGGACCTGCTTGAGCCGACTTCCAGCGAGGGAGGGGGAGCTTCAGGACGCCCGCTGTGTTCTCTGGACTCCCGTTGAGATCCCATTCTGGCCCCCTCCGAGTGACATAGGATGGGCTCACCACATGTGGTCAGGCCGGCAGGGCCTCGCTGCAGCACACAATGACCCCATAGGTCTCAAGGCCTAGTGTCAGAGCAAACTCACTCATCCATCAGCCCTCTGCCTCCCTCCTCCTTTGAAAGTGCAGTGGCCTGCCCCGCTTGTAAAAGCCCAGGGGTTCCGGAAAGCCGAACGCGCTTTTCAGGACAACTGCAAGGAGGAACAGAGGCGAAACCCAGGGGGAGACCATGTGACCACGCGTGGCACTGGCCAATCCCACAGCAGTTGGTGTTAATGTGTGTCACCGGAGGCATACGGGGCGACGGCGAAACGAAGGGTGGGGTCCAGGCATATGCCGGTGGAAGGGGGAAACGGGTGACATTTCCGTCAACGCCAAGGAAAAACAAACAACACCTGGGAACCGTGGGGTAGGGGGGCCTCCTGTGCCTGACCCAAGCCACGTTTTCAAATGCCTACCAGAGGAGCAAAGAGGTTTCTGCCAATTTCGCAACACCCCCAATCCTCCACCGACCTGGTAGCCCTGACGCAACTTCGGCTGGTACAAACCCACAGAGAGTGGGAAAGAAAAACACAGAGAGTGAGAGACAGAGAGAGAAGAGAGAATGGGAGACACACACACAGACACACACGCACACACACGCAGAGTCATACAGCAGAGGCATTGAAACACACACCCCCAGGCAACCCCTGAGGATCCGGGGTTCTGCTCTGGAGGAGAACGACCCTCGGGTGAGAGAGCAGCCGAGGGGCACGCAGGCCGACCCGTCCTCGAGATCACAGACGGCGGCACGACTTTTGGTGAGACTCACCCCAACCAACACCGTCCGTGCAGGCCTGAGGCTGGGATCCCGTGCTGCTTCCCCCGTCTCCGCCTGG
Organism: Homo sapiens; assembly: GCF_000001405.40. NCBI lineage: Eukaryota > Metazoa > Chordata > Mammalia > Primates > Hominidae > Homo > Homo sapiens. Next base: position 27,713 of record NT_187509.1, read on the forward strand.
GGTTTCATCATCATGGTCGGCCCTTTGCGACTGCTGTCATCAGGAGAGGTTCCCTTCGACCCCGTGGAAAGGTGAGGCCGGAGCCTCAGAGCCTGGATACCCAAGCACTGCCACGGAGGGCTCCTGCTCTGCAAAGCCTCGGGGACTAGTGTCTAAGACAACCGTGGGAACCACTGTGACGGGAGAAACCGCTGGCGCCTAGCGCATGCGCATTGGCTGAGCCGACTCACGCTCCACTCCTGACAGATAGGCTGCGTCCCCTTTAAATATCGCCACCGCCGCGCGGCGGCCGCGATGCTCCTGCTGCCGCCCCGGCAGCGCCTGCATCTTGGGTCCTGTTTCAGGCGGCGTGGGAGAGGGGGCCACGGGTGTCTGGTCCTGTCCCAGGCCCAAACCCCCAGGGCTCCTGTCCTCAGGACCTGCTTGAGCCGACTTCCACCAAGGGAGGGGGAGCTTCAGGACGCCTGCTGTGTTCTCTGGACTCCCGTTGAGATCCCATTCTGGCCCCCTCCGAGTGACATAGGATGGGCTCACCACACGTGGTCAGGCCGGCAGGGCCTCGCTGCAGCACAAAATGATCCCATAGGTCTCAAGGCCTAGTGTCAGAGCAAATTCACTCATCCATCAGCCCTCTGCCTCCCTCCTCCTTTGAAAGAGCAGTGGCCTACCCCGCTTGTAAAAGCCCAGGGGTTCCGGAAAGCCGACCGTGCTTAAAAGGACAACTGCAAAGAGGGAGAGAGGCGAAATCCAGGGGGAGACCATGTGACCACGCCTGGCACTGGCCAATCCCACAGCAGTTGGTGTTAACGTGTGACACCGGAGGCAAACGGGGCGACGGCGAAAAGAAGGGTGGGGTCCATGCACGTGGCGGTGGAAGGGGGAAACGGGTGGCCTTTCCGTCAATGCCAAGGAAAATCAAACAACACCTGGGACCCGGAGGGTGTGGGGGACGTCTGTGCCTGACCCAAGCCACGTTTTCAAATGCGTACCAGAGGAACAAAGATGTTTCTGCCAATTTCGCAACACCCCCAATCCTCCACCGACCTCGTAGCCCTGAAGCAACTTCGGCTGGCACAAACCCACAAAGAGTGGGAAAGAAACACACAGAGACCGAGAGACAGAGGGAGAAGAGAGAATGGGAGACAAACACACAGACACACACACACACACGCAGAGTCATACAGCAGAGGCATTGAAACACACACCCCCAGGCAACCCCTGAGGCTCCGGGGTTCTGCTCTGGAGGAGAACGACCCTCGGGTGAGAGAGCAGCCCAGGGGCACGCAGGCCGACCCGTCCTCGAGATCACGGACAGCGGCGCGACTTTTGGCGAGACTCACCCCAACAAACACGGTCCGTGCAGGCCTGAGGCTGGGATCCCGTGCTGGTTCCCCGGTCTCCACCTGGGGTTTCATCTTCATAGTCGGCCCTTTGCGACTGCTGGCATCAGGAGAGTTTCCCTTCGAGCCCGTGGAGAGGTGAGACCGGAGCCTCAGAGCCTCGATACCCAAGCACTGCCACGGAGGGCTCCTGCTCTGCAAAGCCTCGGGGACTGGTTTCTAAGACAACCGTGGGAACCACTGTGACCCGAGAAACCGCTGGGGCCTCGCGCATGCGCATTGGCTGAGCCGACTCACGCTCCACTCCTGACAGATAGGCTGCGTCCCCTTTAAATATTGCCACCGCCACGCAGCGGCCGCGATGCTCCTGCTGCCGCCGCTAAGGCGGCTGTGTCCTGGGTCCTGTTTGGGGTGGCATGGGAGAGGGGACCGCGGGTGTCTCGTCCTGTCCCAGGCCCAAACCCCCAGGGCTCCTGTCCTCAGGACCTGCTTGAGCCGACTTCCACCAAGGGAGGGGGAGCTTCAGGACGCCTGCTGTGTTCTCTGGACTCCCGTTGAGATCCCATTCTGGCCCCCTCCGAGTGACATAGGAAGGGCTCACCACATGTGGTCAGGCCGGCAGGGCCTCGCTGCAGCACACAATGACCCCATAGGTCTCAAGGCCTAGTGTCAGAGCAAATTCACTCATCCATCAGCCCTCTGCCTCCCTCCTCCTTTGAAAGTGCAGTGGCCTGCCCCGCTTGTAAAAGCCCAGGGGTTCCGGAAAGCCGAACTCGCTTTACAGGACAACTGCAAAGAGGAACAGAGGCGAAACCCAGGGGGAGACCATGTGACCACGCGTGGCACTGGCTAATCCCACAGCAGTTGGTGTCAATGTGTGTCACCGGAGGCATACGGGGCGACGGCGAAACGAAGGGTGGGGTCCAGGCATGTGCCGGTGGAAGGGGGAAACGGGTGACATTTCTGTCAGTACCAAGGAAAATCAAACCACACCTGGGAACCGGGAGGTGGGGGTGCCGACTGTGCCTGACCCAAGCCACGTTTTCAAATGCCTACCAGAGGAGCAAAGAGGTTTCTGCCAATTTCGCAACACCCCCAATCCTCCACCGACCTGGTAGCCCTGACGCAACTTCGGCTGGCACAAACCCACAGAGAGTGGGAAAGAAACACACAGAGAGTGAGAGACAGAGAGAGAAGAGAGAATGGGAGACACACACACAGACACACACACACACACACACACGCAGATTCATACAGCAGAGGCATTGAAACACACACCCCAGGCAGCCCCTGAGGCTCCGGGGTTCTGCTCTGGAGGAGAACGACCCTCGGGTGAGAGAGCAGCCCAGGGGCACGCAGCCCGACACGTCCTCGAGATCACGGACAGCGGTAAGGCTTTTGGCGAGACTCACCCCAACAAACACCGTCCGTGCAGGCCTGAGGCTGGGATCCCGTGCTGCTTCCCCCGTCTCCGCCTGGGGTTTCATCATCATGGTCGACCCTTTGCGACTGCTGTCATCAGGAGAGGTTCCCTTCGACCCCGTGGAGAGGTGAGGCCGGAGTCTCAGAGCCTCGATACCCAAGCACTGCCACGGAGGGCTCCTGCTCTGCAAAGCCTCGGGGACTGGTTTCTCAGACAACCGTGGGAACCACTGTGACGGGAGAAACCGCTGGCGCCTCACGCATGCGCATTGGCTGAGGCGACTCACGCTCCACTCCTGACAGATAGGCTGCGTCCCCTTTAAATATCGCCACCGCCGCGCGGCGGTCGCGATGCTCCTGCTGCCGCCCCGGCGTCGGCTGTGTCCTGGGTCCTGTTTGGGGCGGCGTGGGAGCGGGGGCCGCGGGTGTCTCGTCGTGTCACAGGCCCAAAACCCCAGGGCTCCTGTCCTCAGGACCTGCTTGAGCAGATTTCCAGCGAGGGAGGGGGAGCTTCAGGACGCCTGCTGTGTGCTCCGGACTCCCGTTGAGATCCCATTCTGGCCCCCTCCGAGTGACATAGGATGGGCTCACCACATCTGGTCAGGCCGGCAGGTCCTCGCTGCAGCACACAATGACCCCACAGGTCTCAAGGCCTAGTGTCAGAGCAAATTCACCGATCCATCAGCCCTCTGCCTCCCTCCTCCTTTGAAAGACTAGTGGCCTGCCCCGCTTGTAAAAGCCCAGGGGTTCCGGAAAGCCAAACGCGCATTACAGGACAACTGCAAAGACGAACAGAGGCGAAACCCAGGGGGAGACCATGTGACCACGCGTGGCACGGGCCAATTCCACAGCAGTTGGTGTTAATGTGTGTCACCGGAGGCATACGGGGCGACGGCGAAGCGAAGGGTGGGGTCCAGGCATATGCCGGTGGAAGGGGGAAACGGGTGACATTTCCGTCAATGCCAAGGAAAATCAAACAACTCCTGGGAACCGTGGGGTAGGGGGGCCTCCTGTGCCTGACCCAAGCCACGTTTTCAAATGCCTACCAGAGGAGCAAAGAGGTTTCTGCCAATTTCGCAACACCCCCAATCCTCCACCGACCTGGTAGCCCTGACGCAACTTCGGCTGGTACAAACCCACAGAGAGTGGGAAAGAAACACACAGAGAGTGAGAGACAGAGAGAGAAGAGAGAATGGGAGACACACACACAGACACACACGCACACACACGCAGAGTCATACAGCAGAGGCATTGAACCCTGAGAACCCTGAGGCAACCCCTGAGGATCCGGGGTTCTGCTCTGGAGGAGAACGACCCTCGGGTGAGAGAGCAGCCCAGGAGCACGCAGGCCGACCCGTCCTCGAGATCACGGACAGCGGTAAGGCTTTTGGCGAGACTCACCCCAACCAACACCGTCCGTGCAGGACTGAGGCTGGGATCCCGTGCTGCTTCCCCCGTCTCCGCCTGGGGTTTCATCATCATGGTCGACCCTTTGCGACTGCTGTCATCAGGAGAGGTTCCCTTCGACCCCGTGGAGAGGTGAGGCCGGAGCCTCAGAGCCTCGATACCCAAGCACTGCCACGGAGGGCTCCTGCTCTGCAAAGCCTCGGGGACTGGTTTCTCAGACAACCGTGGGAACCACTGTGACCCGAGAAACCGCTGGGGCCTCGCGCATGCGCATTGGCTGAGCCAACTCACGCTCCACTCCTGACAGATAGGCTGCGTCCCCTTTAAATATCGCCACCGCCGCGCGGCGGCCGCGATGCTCCTGCTGCCGCCCCGGCGTCGGCTGTGTCCTGGGTCCTGTTTGGGGCGGCATGGGAGAGGGGACCGCGGGTGTCTCGTCCTGTCCCAGGCCCAAACCCCCAGGGCTCCTGTCCTCAGGACCTGCTTGAGCCGACTTCCAGCGAGGGAGGGGGAGCTTCAGGACGCCCGCTGTGTTCTCTGGACTCCCGTTGAGATCCCATTCTGGCCCCCTCCGAGTGACATAGGATGGGCTCACCACATGTGGTCAGGCCGGCAGGGCCTCGCTGCAGCACACAATGACCCCATAGGTCTCAAGGCCTAGTGTCAGAGCAAACTCACTCATCCATCAGCCCTCTGCCTCCCTCCTCCTTTGAAAGTGCAGTGGCCTGCCCCGCTTGTAAAAGCCCAGGGGTTCCGGAAAGCCGAACGCGCTTTTCAGGACAACTGCAAGGAGGAACAGAGGCGAAACCCAGGGGGAGACCATGTGACCACGCGTGGCACTGGCCAATCCCACAGCAGTTGGTGTTAATGTGTGTCACCGGAGGCATACGGGGCGACGGCGAAACGAAGGGTGGGGTCCAGGCATATGCCGGTGGAAGGGGGAAACGGGTGACATTTCCGTCAACGCCAAGGAAAAACAAACAACACCTGGGAACCGTGGGGTAGGGGGGCCTCCTGTGCCTGACCCAAGCCACGTTTTCAAATGCCTACCAGAGGAGCAAAGAGGTTTCTGCCAATTTCGCAACACCCCCAATCCTCCACCGACCTGGTAGCCCTGACGCAACTTCGGCTGGTACAAACCCACAGAGAGTGGGAAAGAAACACACAGAGAGTGAGAGACAGAGAGAGAAGAGAGAATGGGAGACACACACACAGACACACACGCACACACACGCAGAGTCATACAGCAGAGGCATTGAAACACACACCCCCAGGCAACCCCTGAGGATCCGGGGTTCTGCTCTGGAGGAGAACGACCCTCGGGTGAGAGAGCAGCCCAGGGGCACGCAGGCCGACCCGTCCTCGAGATCACAGACGGCGGCACGACTTTTGGTGAGACTCACCCCAACCAACACCGTCCTTGCAGGCCTGAGGCTGGGATCCCGTGCTGCTTCCCCCGTCTCCGCCTGGGGTTTCATCATCATGGTCGGCCCTTTGCGATTGCTGTCATCAGGAGAGGTTCCCTTCGACCCCGTGGAAAGGTGAGGCCGGAGCGTCAGAGCCTGGATACCCAAGCACTGCCACGGAGGGCTCCTGCTCTTGCAAGCCTCGGGGACTAGTGTCTAAGACAACCGTGGGAACCACTGTGACGGGAGAAACCGCTGGCGCCTAGTGCATGCGCATTGGCTAAGCCGACTCACGCTCCACTCCTGACAGATAGGCTGCGTCCCCTTTAAATATCGCCACCGCCGCGCGGCGGCCGCGATGCTCCTGCTGCCGCCCCGGCAGCGCCTGCATCTTGGGTCCTGTTTCAGGCGGTGTGGGAGAGGGGGCCACGGGTGTCTGGTCCTGTCCCAGGCCCAAACCCCCAGGGCTCCTGTCCTCAGGACCTGCTTGAGCCGACTTCCACCAAGGGAGGGGGAGCTTCAGGACGCCTGCTGTGTTCTCTGGACTCCCGTTGAGATCCCATTCTGGCCCCCTCCGAGTGACATAGGATGGGCTCACCACACGTGGTCAGGCCGGCAGGGCCTCGCTGCAGCACAAAATGATCCCATAGGTCTCAAGGCCTAGTGTCAGAGCAAATTCACTCATCCATCAGCCCTCTGCCTCCCTCCTCCTTTGAAAGAGCAGTGGCCTACCCCGCTTGTAAAAGCCCAGGGGTTCCGGAAAGCCGACCGTGCTTAAAAGGACAACTGCAAAGAGGGAGAGAGGCGAAATCCAGGGGGAGACCATGTGACCACGCCTGGCACTGGCCAATCCCACAGCAGTTGGTGTTAACGTGTGACACCGGAGGCAAACGGGGCGACGGCGAAACGAAGGGTGGGGTCCAGGCATATGCCGGTGGAAGGCGGAAACGGGTGACCTTTCCGTCAATGCCAAGGAAAATCAAACAACACCTGGGACCCGGAGGGTGTGGGGGACGTCTGTGCCTGACCCAAGCCACGTTTTCAAATGCCTACCAGAGGAACAAAGATGTTTCTGCCAATTTCCCAACACCCCCAATCCTCCACCGACCTCGTAGCCCTGAAACAACTTCGGCTGGCACAAACCCACAAAGAGTGGGAAAGAAACACACAGAGACTGAGAGACAGAGGGAGAAGAGAGAATGGGAGACAAACACACAGACACACACACACACACGCAGAGTCATACAGCACAGTCATTGAAACACACACCCCCAGGCAACCCCTGAGGCTCCGGGGTTCTGCTCTGGAGGAGAACGACCCTCGGGTGAGAGAGCAGCCCAGGGGCACGCAGGCCGACCCGTCCTCGAGATCACGGACAGCGGCGCGACTTTTGGCGAGACTCACCCCAACAAACACCGTCCGTGCAGGCCTGAGTCTGGGATCCCGTGCTGCTTCCCCCGTCTCCACCTGGGGTTTCATCTTCACAGTCGGCCCTTTGCGACTGCTGGCATCAGGAGAGTTTCCCTTCGAGCCCGTGGAGAGGTGAGACCGGAGCCTCAGAGCCTCGATACCCAAGCACTGCCACGGAGCGCTCCTGCTCTGCAAAGCCTCGGGGACTGGTTTCTAAGACAACCGTGGGAACCACTGTGACCGGAGAAACCGCTGGGGCCTCGCGCATGCGCATTGGCTGAGCCGACTCATGCTCCTCCACTCCTGACAGATAGGCTGCGTCCCCTTTAAATATTGCCACCGCCTCGCGGCGGCCGCGATGCTCCTGCTGCCGCCGCGAAGGCGGCTGTGTCCTGGGTCCTGTTTGGGGCGGCATGGGAGAGGGGACGGCGGGTGTCTCGTCCTGTCCCAGGCCCAAACCCCCAGGGCTCCTGTCCTCAGGACCTGCTTGAGCCGACTTCCACCAAGGGAGGGGGAGCTTCAGGACGCCTGCTGTGTTCTCTGGACTCCCGTTGAGATCTCATTCTGGACCCCTCCGAGTGACATAGGATGGGCTCACCACATGTGGTCAGGCCGGCAGGGCCTCGCTGCAGCACACAATGACCCCATAGGTCTCAAGGCCTAGTGTCAGAGCAAATTCACTCATCCATCAGCCCTCTGCCTCCCTCCTCCTTTGAAAGTGCAGTGGCCTGCCGCGCTTGTAAAAGCCCAGGGGTTCCGGAAAGCCGAACGCGCTTTACAGGACAACTGCAAAGAGGAAAAGAGGCGAAACCCAGGGGGAGACCATGTGACCACGCATGGCACTGGCTAATCCCACAGCAGTTGGTGTTAATGTGTGTCACCGGAGGCATACGGGGCGACGGCGAAACGAAGGGTGGGGTCCAGGCATGTGCCGGTGGAAGGGGGAAACGGGTGACATTTCCGTCAATGCCAAGGAAAATCAAACAACACCTGGGACCCGGAGGGTGTGGGATACGTCTGTGCCTGACCCAAGCCACGTTTTCAAATGCCTACCAGAGGAGCAAAGAGGTTTCTGCCAATTTCGCAACACCCCCAATCCTCCACCGACCTCGTAGCCCTGAAGCAACTTCGGCTGGCACAAACCCACAAAGAGTGGGAAAGAAACACACAGAGACTGAGAGACAGAGGGAGAAGAGAGAATGGGAGACAAACACACAGACACACACACACACACGCAGAGTCATACAGCAGAGGCATTGAAACACACACCCCCAGGCAACCCCTGAGGATCCGGGGTTCTGCTCTGGAGGAGAACGACCCTCGGGTGAGAGAGCAGCCCAGGAGCACGCAGGCCGACCCGTCCTCGAGATCACTGACCGCGGCGCGACTTTTGGCGAGACTCACCCCAACCAACACCGTCCGTGCAGGCCTGAGTCTGGGATCCCGTGCTGCTTCCCCCGTCTCCACCTGGGGTTTCATCTTCATAGTCGGCCCTTTGCGACTGCTGGCATCAGGAGAGTTTCCCTTCGAGCCCGTGGAGAGGTGAGACCGGAGCCTCAGAGCCTCGATATCCAAGCACTGCCACGGAGGGCTCCTGCTGTGCAAAGCCTCGGGGACTGGTTTCTAAGACAAACGTGGGAACCACTGTGACCGGAGAAACCGCTGGGGCCTCGCGCATGCGCATTGGCTGAGCCGACTCACGCTCCACTCCTGACAGATAGGCTTTGTCCCCTTTAAATATCGCCACCGCCGCGCGGCGGCCGCGATGCTCCTGCTGCCGCCCCGGCGTCGGCTGTGTCCTGGGTCCTGTTTGGGGCGGCGTGGGAGTGGGGGCCGCGGGTCTCTCGTCGTGTCACAGGCCCAAACCCCCAGGGCTCCTGTCCTCAGGACCTGCTTGAGCAGATTTCCAGCGAGGGAGGGGGAGCTTCAGGACGCCTGCTGTGTGCTCCGGACTCCCGTTGAGATCCCATTCTGGCCCCCTCCGAGTGACATAGGATGGGCTCACCACATCTGGTCAGGCCGTCAGGGCCTCGCTGCAGCACACAATGACCCAATAGGTCTCAAGGCCTAGTGTCAGAGCAAATTCACCGATCCATCAGCCCTCTGCCTCCCTCCTCCTTTGAAAGAGCAGTGGCCTGCCCCGCTTGTAAAAGCCCAGGGGTTCCGGAAAGCCAAACGCGCATTACAGGACAACTGCAAAGACGAACAGAGGCGAAACCCAGGGGGAGACCATGTGACCACGCGTTGCACTGGCCAATCCCACAGCAGTTGGTGTTAATGTGTGTCACCGGAGGCATATGGGGCGACGGCGAAGCGAAGGGTGGGGTCCAGGCATATGCTGGTGGAAGGGGGAAACGGGTGACATTTCCGTCAATGCCAAGGAAAATCAAACAACACCTGGGAACCGTGGGGTAGGGGGACCTCCTGTGCCTGACCCAAGCCACGTTTTCAAATGCCTACCAGAGGAGCAAAGAGGTTTCTGCCAATTTCGCAACACCCCCAATCCTCCACCGACCTGGTAGCCCTGACGCAACTTCGGCTGGTACAAACCCACAGAGAGTGGGAAAGAAACACACAGAGAGTGAGAGACAGAGAGAGAAGAGAGAATGGGAGACACACACACAGACACACACGCACACACACGCAGATTCATACAGCAGAGGCATTGAAACACACACCCCCAGGCAACCCCTGAGGATCCGGGGTTCTGCTCTGGAGGAGAACGACCCTCGGGTGAGAGAGCAGCCGAGGGGCACGCAGGCCGACCCGTCCTCGAGATCACAGACAGCGGTAAGGCTTTTGGTGAGACTCACCCCAACCAACACCGTCCGTGCAGGCCTGAGGCTGGGATCCCGTGCTGCTTCCCCCGTCTCCGCCTGGGGTTTCATCATCATGGTCGGCCCTTTGCGACTGCTGTCATCAGGAGAGGTTCCCTTCGACCCCGTGGAAAGGTGAGGCCGGAGCCTCAGAGCCTGGATACCCAAGCACTGCCACGGAGGGCTCCTGCTCTGCCAAGCCTCGGGGACTAGTGTCTAAGACAACCGTGGGAACCACTGTGACGGGAGAAACCGCTGGCGCCTAGCGCATGCGCATTGGCTGAGCCGACTCACGCTCCACTCCTGACAGATAGGCTGCGTCCCCTTTAAATATCGCCACCGCCGCGCGGCGGCCGCGATGCTCCTGCTGCCGCCCCGGCAGCGCCTGGGTCTTGGGTCCTGTTTCAGGCGGTGTGGGAGAGGGGGCCACGGGTGTCTGGTCCTGTCCCAGGCCCAAACCCCCAGGGCTCCTGTCCTCAGCTCCTGCTTGAACCGACTTCCACCAAGGGAGGGGGAGCTTCAGGACGCCTGCTGTGTTCTCTGGACTCCCGTTGAGATCCCATTCTGGCCCCCTCCGAGTGACATAGGATGGGCTCACCACACGTGGTCAGGCCGGCAGGGCCTCGCTGCAGCACAAAATGATCCCATAGGTCTCAAGGCCTAGTGTCAGAGCAAATTCACTCATCCATCAGCCCTCTGCCTCCCTCCTCCTTTGAAAGAGCAGTGGCCTACCCCGCTTGTAAAAGCCCAGGGGTTCCGGAAAGCCGACCGTGCTTAAAAGGACAACTGCAAAGAGGAAGAGAGGCGAAATCCAGGGGGAGACCATGTGACCACGCGTGGCACTGGCCAATCCCACAGCAGTTGGTGTTAACGTGTGACACCGGAGGCAAACGGGGCGACGGCGAAACGAAGGGTGGGGTCCATGCACGTGCCGGTGGAAGGGGGAAACGGGTGACCTTTCCGTCAATGCCAAGGAAAATCAAACAACCCCTGGGACCCGGAGGGTGTGGGGGACGTCTGTGCCTGACCCAAGCCACGTTTTCAAATGCCTACCAGAGGAACAAAGATGTTTCTGCCAATTTCGCAACACCCCCAATCCTCCACCGACCTCGTAGCCCTGAAGCAACTTCGGCTGGCACAGACCCACAAAGAGTGGGAAAGAAACACACAGAGACTGAGAGACAGAGGGAGAAGAGAGAATGGGAGACGAACACACAGACACACACACACACACGCAGAGTCATACAGCACAGTCATTGAAACACACACCCCCAGGCAACCCCTGAGGCTCCGGGGTTCTGCTCTGGAGGAGAACGACCCTCGGGTGAGAGAGCAGCCCAGGGGCACGCAGGCCGACCCGTCCTCGAGATCACGGACAGCGGCGCGACTTTTGGCGAAACTCACCCCAACAAACACCGTCCGTGCAGGCCTGAGGCTGGGATCCCGTGCTGCTTCCCCGGTCTCCACCTGGGGTTTCATCTTCATAGTCGGCCCTTTGCGACTGCTGGCATCAGGAGAGTTTCCCTTCGAGCCCGTGGAGAGGTGAGGCCGGAGCCTCAGAGCCTCGATACCCAAGCACTGCCACGGAGGGCTCCTGCTCTGCAAAGCCTCGGGGACTGGATTCTAAGACAAACGTGGGAACCACTGTGACCGGAGAAACCGCTGGGGCCTCGCGCATGCGCATTGGCTGAGCCGACTCACGCTCCACTCCTGACAGATAGGCTGCGTCCCCTTTAAATATTGCCACCGCCGCGCGGCGGCCGCGATGCTCCTGCTGCCGCCGCGAAGGCGGCTGTGTCCTGGGTCCTGTTTGGGGTGGCATGGGAGAGGGGACCGCGGGTGTCTCGTCCTGTCCCAGGCCCAAACCCCCAGGGCTCCTGTCCTCAGGACCTGCTTGAGCCGACTTCCACCAAGGGAGGGGGAGCTTCAGGACGCCTGCTGTGTTCTCTGGACTCCCGTTGAGATCCCATTCTGGCCCCCTCCGAGTGACATAGGATGGGCTCACCACATCTGCTCAGGCCGGCAGGGCCTCGCTGCAGCACACAATGACCCCATAGGTCTCAAGGCCTAGTGTCAGAGCAAACTCACTCATCCATCAGCCCTCTGCCTCCCTCCTCCTTTGAAAGTGCAGTGGCCTGCCCCGCTTGTAAAAGCCCAGGGGTTCCGGAAAGCCGAACGCGCTTTACAGGACAACTGCAAAGAGGAACAGAGGCGAAACCCAGGGGGAGACCATGTGACCACGCGTGGCACTGGCCAATCCCACAGCAGTTGGTGTTAATGTGTGTCACCGGAGGCATATGGGGCGACGGCGAAACGAAGGGTGGGGTCCAGGCATATGCCGGTGGAAGGGGGAAACGGGTGACATTTCCGTCAGTGCCAAGGAAAATCAAACCACACCTGGGAACCGGGAGGTGGGGGTGCCGACTGTGCCTGACGCAAGCCACGTTTTCAAATGCCTACCAGAGGAGCAAAGAGGTTTCTGCCAATTTCGCAACACCCCCAATCCTCCACCGACCTGGTAGCCCTGACGCAACTTCGGCTGGTACAAACCCACAGAGAGTGGGAAAGAAACACACAGAGACTGACAGACAGAGAGAGAAGAGAGAATGGGAGACACACACACAGACACACACACACACACACACACACACGCAGAGTCATACAGCAGAGGCATTGAA
>NT_187510.1:0-36723 GCF_000001405.40 Homo sapiens
TTAAACGGTTGTTTCACTGCGGGGAAAAGAGTATCCCAAGCTCCTCTCCTCTGGAAATCTGATCAAATTCTTTTTCAAGTCCTTCAGTAATGGTTAATTATATATGTGTATATCATATTTACATTTATATTTATTGATATAACAGTTATGCTTGGTGTTTCATGCGTATATGATAGCATCTTATGTGTTCATAAATTTTAAAAGTTGTTTTCTATGTGATCTGATTTATTTGCTTGAGAAAAACTTTTTTCTGGTAGCTTCGTCTGGGAACTTGCTCAGTGGTAATTTTTTAAATGACAGCTTTATGCAGTATTTTTATGATCTCTTCATTTACCCAGGAGTGATTACTTCTCTATTTTCCGCTGTGTTAAAACTAGGTGTTTTCTCTTTCTACTCCCTTCCAGGCCTCTCACTACTAGAATTCGGTCAATGAGAGTATCCGTGGCATGTTATTTAGTATTTGTTATTTTGCTATTACATACGCTTCTATTTCTAACATTTGATTTACTGCTTTGAATGATCCACTTTGAGTCCTGGCTGTTACAGCTGAGTTGACCAAGTCCTCCTCCTCAGACCCCCACCTGTGTGTGTGCACATCGTGTCTCTCAGCTCTGGAGCTGCAGATGATGTCAGGGTCTCAGCAAACAAGACCCCTCAAAGTTGAAAACTGTACAAACATCGTATGCAGCAGCCTTGATCTACCCTATGTCTTCCATTCTTTCCTCCTTCTTCCACTTTTTGTTAGTTTCGATATTGGTTTATTTCCAGGGCATATGGCATTTATATGCATTTTATTACCCTGGTTCTCATGTTTATTTTAGTTTTAGTCAACACAATTCACAATTATAATATTTCACCATAGTTTTTCCTTAGTTATCTCTTTGTTGGCTAAAGTTTGTTCTCTGGGACTTTTCCCAAGTAGGAAAATATTCCCTGAGTTTGTGTGTATTTAAAACTGCCTGAAGTATACTTTGAAATGTAGCCTGACTAGGTATAAAACCTTTGGTTTTCATTCCACTTTTTGAATATCTTGTAAGTAATGGGCCACTGTATCTTGGCATTAAATTTTGCTAGGAAAAAATATGAGACTAGCCTGTTACATTCTCTTTTTTAAGAGCGGCTTGATTAAAGGATCTTTTCCTTAATGTTTCTTTAAAACTTTGTAGGGTGTTCTTAGTGTTTCCTTTTCTGTGGAACCTAATTTTATTCTGGAAAAGTTTTGTTGAATCAGTTCTTAAAGGGATTCATGCTCTTTCAATGCTGTCTTTTTTTTTTCTTTCCATACCTTCCTTTTTTGATATATTTTAGATTGTCTCTGCTTATCTTCTATAGCCACTGTTTTCCCTCTAATAATTTTTAGATTTTCCCTTTAATTTTACTGTATTTACTTTTACTTTTTTATTTATATTTTCTATGTTCCTTACTGAGTTTTCTAAAGTCTGTTTTAATTTCTCTACTTCTTCTAGGTTCACCTTCGTTTCTATGAAGATCTTGGTTTTTCTTCATGTTTGCTGGTTTTTGTCAGCACATTTTTTTTATTCTAACGTTTCACCGCTTCTTTCTCTGAGTTCTTATATTTCTGCTTCATGGTCTTCCATTTTTGATCTGACAGCTCCATTAAGTTTTCATTTCATGGCAAAATATTTGGGTAACATTTTCATCTTGCTTTTGGCATTGATTTTTGTTGTGTGATCTTTCTCCATTGATAAGTTTGCATTTTTCCCCATAGTTTTTTCTTATAGTGTCTTTACATAAATCAATAATTATTAATTACTGAATTAATTGAAATGTTTTGAACCAATAATTTGTGAAAAGTTTCTATGAAGAAGAAAGGAGGAGGCAAAGTTGTCTTGCAAACTTAGCAACCCAACAATCTTCTCCTTCACCACCATAGAGTTAGATGGCTTCTGCAGATATGGCTAAATCTTCTCCTTCACCACCATAGAATTAGATGGCTTCTGCAGATACAGCTAAGTCTTCTCCTTCACCACCGTAGAATTAGGAGGCTTCTGCAGATACGGCTAAATCTTCTCCTTCACCACCATAGAATTAGATGGCTTCTGCAGATACGGCTAAATCTTCTCCTTCACCACCGTAGAATTAGATGGCTTCTGCAGATACAGCTAAGTCTCTTTCACCACCATAGAATTAGGTGGCTTCTGCAGATATGGCTAAGTCTTCTCCTTCACCACCATAGAATTAGGTGGCTTCTGCAGATATGGCTAAGTCTTCTCCTTCACCACCATAGAATTAGGAGGCTTCTGCAGATATGGCTAAATCTTCTCCTTCACCACCGTAGAATTTGGAGGCTTCTGCAGATATGGCTAAATCTTCTCCTTCACCACCATAGAATTAGATGGCTTCTGCAGATACGGCTAAATCTTCTCCTTCACCACCGTAGAATTAGATGGCTTCTGCAGATACAGCTAAGTCTCTTTCACCACCATAGAATTAGGTGGCTTCTGCAGATATGGCTAAGTCTTCTCCTTCACCACCATAGAATTAGGTGGCTTCTGCAGATATGGCTAAGTCTTCTCCTTCACCACCATAGAATTAGGAGGCTTCTGCAGATATGGCTAAATCTTCTCCTTCACCACCGTAGAATTTGGAGGCTTCTGCAGATACGGCTAAATCTTCTCCTTCACCACCATAGAATTAGGTGGCTTCTGCAGGTATGGCTAAGTCTTCTCCTTCACCATCATAGGATTTGGTGGCTTCTGCAGATACGGCTAAGAGCTTAACAACCCAACAGTCTTCTCCTTCACTGCCATAGAATGCAGTGGCTTCTGCAGATACACCTAAGTCATCGGCTCTTTGTAGAGCATCACCTTCTCTGAGTGAAACTGGGTCCAGAAAGTCTTCGATGACCTCGGTCCATAGAGGTTCTGAATCCATTATTACAAACAAAGAATACAACTTTTATATTTCAGAGTCCCTGGCCTTCAGCCCTTTCTGAAATCAGCCACCACTGTGCCTTTAAGCCATCACTGTGCTTTTCTTCCTTTGGTCTTCCATGGCTTGCTTGATTTCAGCTGTTTAGAGTCTCTATATGTACTTTTGAGTCTATGGTCCATTTCTATTTACTCCTAGTTCAACTTAAAATGAAATTGTATTTTAAAATATATTCTTGCTGTTTTTAGTATTATTTTCAGGAAGAGTAGTGAGCAATGCTGTTTATTCAACTCTGGTCATACCATGTCCCCTGATTGTATTCTATTCATGCATCTCTAATAGAGCTCCTAGACTTTTCCAAGGCTTATATTGAAGTGACTTAATACATGTTTGTCAATGTTTCCTACATTTTCTACTCTTCATATGTCTCATATATGATGCTTCAGTAGGAGTCCCCAGTGTTTGGGGGACTCCTACTCTTGGAGTAGCCAAACTCTGAATGTATAATATTTATTTTCCCCTGCTTCCATCAGTGGTAGTAGACACCCTGGAGGGTCTAATTGCAAGCATAACCACCCAACAGTTCTCTCCTTTAGTTTAGAGCCCTGTAGTCAGTGTTGGCTAGTAAGTTGTCGTGGAGCACCCAGAGTGGACACTTCAACAGGGTCTGGTAGTCAGTGCTGGCCAGTAGGTTGTCGTGGGGCACCCAGAGTGGACACTTTGACGTGGTCTGGGAGCAGAGCATTATGTCCACTCTTGAATGATAGCTGGGACACGTTGGACGATGGAACCAACAGAATCACAGGCTTCATGGATGACCTGGGATTTTCCTGCATTCAGTCGGTAAAAAGTGTGAAGAGTATTAAGTCCCTCTGAGATTGAGAGGGAACATAATTTTAAGAACAACTGGCATCAGATCGTTTATTCATTTTACTTGACAAGAATTTACAAACATCTTTAATATGTGCCACAACCATGGACTAATATAAAATAGAATACAAATGCACAAAAGAGAACAGAAAAGTGGAAAATGCCAAGTAACACACAGAGTAAAATTACTGGCCGGGCACAGTGGCTCATGCCTGTAATCGCAGCCCTTTGGGAGGCCGAGGCAGGTGGATCAGCAGGTCAGGAGTTCGAGACCAGTCTGACCAACATGGTGAAACCCTGTCTCTACTAAAAATACAAAAAAATTAGCCGAGCATGGTGGCGGGCGCCTATAATCCCAGCTACTCAGGAGGCTGAGGCAGGAGAATCACTTGAACCTGGGAGGCAGAGGTTGCAGTGAGCCGACATTGCACCACTGTACTCCAGCCTGGGCAACAGAGAGAGACTCCATCTCAAAAAAAAAAAAAAAAAAAAAAGTACTTGAGAGGATATGAAAAACTGTTCCCCAGAGGTGGCATAATTTGGAAGTCATAGTGTATGTTGGTGTCAAGGAAATAAGTGAGTTCTTTTTTTTAAAGAAAGATGTTTTGTTTTGTTTTGTTTTGTTTTAAAGAGAACAAGGTTCATTAACAATATGCAAAACAGATGAAATGCAGTCAATAACGCTATGAAAAATCACTTTCTCTACAGAATGCGAAAGCATCAATAACATTTTAGCCTTTATTTTGCTGTTTAGTAGAGAATTATCACTATAGTGTTTTCACTAGTTATCAGCATCTTAAGGGAAGTACTTATGTGTGTTGTACCTTTTGAAAACTGGAATCATAGAATGCTTTAAATTATTGTATTAAAAATTGAAGTGATGATAACTATTCAGCTGGAATGTCAGGAAAATGTTGAAAATGACCAAGAGTTTACCAGGAAAAGGCTGCAAGGTAGCATCTGGTCATACCTTTAAATGACAGACAAACACAGACACATACACACAAAAGCAACATTTAAGTAGAGGAAACTTGTTAGTGCTCATGTGTTTAGAGTAAGTACAATGAGTCGGATTAGTGCTTTCCATTGTGATGACCTCATTTGTGCTTGGAGCCACTTGGGAGGATTCTGTCAGCTTCATCCCGGCACCGACTAGCACTGCACAGCGTAGAAGGCACAAGGACTGAAAAGGTCATGTCTTTCTGCTCGGAAAGCTTGAATGGTTATAGAGTGTAGAGGGCCCATGCAAAACGCTCATTATCTGCTGTGTCTCTTGTTTTCAAAATTCTTTATCAGGTTACTGGCAATAAAATGCTGTTCCCTTTGGTTACCAGACAATGAGGCATTTATACCAGCAAGTCACCTGAGAACACAGCAGCCAACATTAATGAGTTGAAAGTACCACTGGGACAGTGAAGAATTGACAGGACTGCTGGCCTGCTGATCTTGTTTATCTTGCCTTTTTTTTTCTTTTTCAAGGTTTATTTGTGGAAAGTCTGTTTTCGTTGCTTATGTGCTCATCTGTGCTGCTTTAAAATGCCTTCGTGGTGGCAGAGAGTAATCAGCATATAGAGTCTGGAAACCAACTTTTAAATTTTATTAATGAGCTGAGTTTAGTTCCCCTTTATCTTTTAACTGACTCCAGGAGCATTAATGAAAAGTATATAAATATGAATACAGGTGTAGTAATAAAAAAGAATTATCAGTCACCCTTAATTTAATTGGTGTCACCTTAGCCTTTAGAAGGGTAATAGGATAGTATTGCCACCTGCAATCATTCAAGACTATTTTACTCACTACAGTAATTAGCTCACTTTAAAAAATTAGGTGACCTTTCAAAAGTGAGTAAAATAGAATCCGGTGAGAACCGTTAAGACACGTTTGTGAATATAGCATTGGTAGAATATCATAGATATTTAGGGTTTCGAGCGACCTGTGGTCATTTTGTGCAACTTCTGTTTATGAAAGAATCTCTTGAAACACTCTTTTCGTGCACGGAGTTACTAGGCATCTAGCAACTGGAGGTTATATCAATGTGTCAGATACTCCACAGTCTCTCTTCCAATATTACGTGCAAAATACCCTGTAGACTAGGAAGCATGTTTGATCTTCTTGGTTATAGGTGCAATTTATTCAACCAGCTTTCGTCTATGTGCATTGAATTCCATTATGACTACTTTTGGCATGGAGACAAACACAAAACATGGCCTCTGAAGAGAGTGTATGCTGGGATTTGGGATAAGGCATATAAAGAATAACTTTACTAAAAAGCTGAATATTACATCATATGAGTTAAACACTCTTGCCAAGAATTATCAGTAACCATAACAGCTGATGAAAGTGGATGTAACTGCAAATCAAACTAGTGGGCATCTCTTGTTTCTTAGCAAAATTTTCCACATTAAAGAAACGCTTAAAACGATATTTTTACTTGTAAGATACACAAGAGACATATTTGATTTAGGAGACATTCAGAGCAGTTTTCTGCCTTTGTTGCATATGTACATCAAAGTGCTTTAGTGATAGTTGCAATTTTGGTAGTTATCTGCCACGTTAGAAATGAATCCAAACTAGCATATTTTGACCTTTCAATTTAATTGCCACAAAGCAAAATTCACTAGTATTCAGTGCCTCCCATCAAGCGGAAATCCAAAGCACGTTTTCCCATTAAGGAGACTCCTTTTCTCACAGATAGCAAATTTCCTAATGAGGAGAGAGCTGATTGAAGGACCATGATGATGAGCCAATGATAGGTGTTATTGACCTTTCTTGAAAGAGCTTGACTTCTGAACATTTTTTGAACTTATACTTGAGATACAGTAGATTTGATATCACACATTATAATGGATGGTTTTCTGATAGGACCTGACCATTTACTAGCCTACATCCTTCTAGTTTTCTACATAAACTCTCTACTGCAGCAACTAATGATAATTATTATTATGGTTGCTAACATTTGCTGATCTTATTGTTTTCTAGGCACTGTGCTGAGAACTTCATATCCATTTATTTCATTTTATCTTGAGAGGTGACAGCATGCTGGCAGCCCTCGCAGCCCTGGCTCGCTCTCTGTGCCTCCTCAGCCTTGGCGCCCACTCTGGCCATGCTTGAGGAGCCCTTCAGCCCGCCGCTGCACTGTGGGAGCTTCTTTCTGGGCTGGCCAAGGCTGGAGCCGGCTCCCTCAGCTTGCAGGGAGGTGTGGAGGGACAGACACAGGCGGGAACCGGGGCTGTTCACGGTGCTTGAGGGCCAGCACGAGTTCCCGGTGGGCGTGGGCTCGGCGAGCCCCGCACTCAGAGCCACCAGCCTGCCCACAAGCCCCGGGCAGTGGGCTTAGCACCTGGGCCACCAGCTGCTGTGCTCGACTTCTTGCTGGGCCTTAGCTGCCTCCGGCAGGGCAGGGCTTGGGACCTGCAGCCCACCATGCCTGAGCCTGCCTCCCCCGCCGCACCCCCACATGGGCTCCTGTGCAGCCCGAGCCTCCCCGACAAGGGGCGCTCCCTGCTCCAGGGCTGTGCCTAGTCCCATCGACCGCCCAAGGGCTGAGGAGTGCGGGCTCATAGTGCGGAAGTGGCGGGCAGCTCCACCTGCGGCCCTGGTGCAGGATCCACTGGGTGAAGCCAGCTGTGCTCCTGAGTCTGGTGGGGACTTGGAGAATCTTTATGTCTAGCTAAGTGATTGTAAATACACCAATCAGCACTCTGTATCTAGCTCAAGGTTTGTAAACACACCAATCAGCACCCTGCGTCTAGCTCAGGGTTTGTGAATGCACCAATCAGCACTCTGTATCTAGTTAATCTGGTGAGGACTTGGGGAACCTTTATGTCTAGCTAAGGGATTGTGAATGCAACAATTGACACGCTGTATCTAGCTCAAGGTTTGTAAATGCACCAATCAGCACTCTGTCTAGCTCAGGGTTTGTAAATACACCAATCGACACTCTATCTAGCTAATCTAGTGGGGATGTGGAGAACTTTTGTGTCTAGCTCAGGGATTGTAAACGAACCAATCAGCACCCTGTCAAAACTGACCAATCAGCTCTTTGTGAAACAGACCAATCGGCTCTCTGTAAAATGGACCAATCAGCAGGATGTGGGTGGGGCCAGATAAGAGAATAAAAGCAGGCTACCCGAGCCAGAAGCTTCAATCTGCTGGGGTCCCCTTCCACACTGTGGAAGCTTTGTTCTTTTGCTCTTTGCAATAAAGCTTGCTACTGCTCACTCTTTGGGTCCACACTACCTTTATGAGCTGTAACACTCACCGTGAAGGTCTGCAGCTTCACTCCTGAAGCCAGCGATACCAGGAGCCCACCAGGAGGAACGAACAACTCTAGACACACTGCCCCAAGAGCTGTAACACTCACCGCGAAGGTCTGCAGCTTCACTCCTGAGCCAGCAAGACCACAAACCCACCAGAAGGAAGAAACTCCCAACACATCTGAACATCAGAAGGAACAGACTCCAGACACGCCGCCTTTAAGAACTGTAACACTCACCTTGAGGGTCTGTAGCTTCATTCTTGAAGTCAGTGAGACCAAGAACCCACCAATTCTGGACACAATCTTATACCACAGAACTGTAAGTTCTATTCTTCTTCCAGTTTTACAAAACAGAAACAGACAAACAAACAGAGGTAATTCTCTGAAAGATGTCTCTCTCAGTCCATTTCTGCTGCAATGTACCTTAGACTAGGTAATTTATAAAACAACAGAAATGTATTGCTAGTAGTTCTGGAGGCCAGAGGTCCAAGCTCAAGGCAGCAGTAGAATCGGTGCCTGCTGAGGGCCCATGCATCATGGATGGATTCTTCTGTATGTCCTCATATGGCAGCAGTAGACTCGGTGCCTGCTGAGAGCCAATTCATGGATGGAGTCTTCTGTATGTCCTCATATGGCGGCAGTAGAATTGGTGCCTGCTGAGGGCCCATGCATCATGGATGGAGTCTTCTGTATGTCCTCATATGGCAGCAGTGGACTCGGTGCCTGCTGAGGGCCCATTCATCATAGATGGAGTTTTCTCTATGTCCTCATATGGCAGAAGAAACAAGCAAGCTCTCTCAGACATTTTTATAAGGGTACTAAACCCATTCATGAAGGGTCCACCCTTATGACCTGGTCACCTCCTAGAGACCCCACCTCTTAATGTTATTGCATTGGGAATTAGGTTTCAATGTATGAATTTTGGAGGAATGCAAACATTCAGATCAGATCTGTTTGACCTCACAGCCAAAACTGGCAGTGGAATTTGCATGTTGCTCCTGGAACATATCTAGTAATTTTCCGTCTCTATACATTTGCTATGCTGTTTCCTCTATACTGAATGATCCATACTATCCGTTTAACTTTGTATCTTTAAAGGCTTGTGTGTGTGCCCATCTATTTTGGTGAGGTTGTTACCAAAACACCATGGGTTTGGTCTAAGTCCTGCTGCTCACTGCACAGAAAGCCAATCACTGAGATGGTGAGTGTTTCCAGGGAAGAAGCTTTCATCCGGTGCTGCAGCTGAGGAGATGGGAGCTCAGCCTCAAATCCATCGCCCTGACTGACTAAAAATGGGGTTTTATACAACAGGCAAGAAATGTAACAATGTGTAGGAAACACGAACTAGGGAGGAACAAGGAGGTCTCATCTGGTGAGTTTCAGTTCTTTAATGCTTTTTTTTTTTTTTTTGGAGAGGCCTGAAGGTCCTTTCCTGAGGAAAGAACTCAGATGAAACAAATACAAGTTTCAAGCTTTAAGAGCGGAAGAGTCAATGTCTATGTTTATACAAAAGAACACGCTGTGGGAGTATTGGGCCTGCTTCAAGGTCAGTAGGATCTATTCCAGAATTACACACATCGTTTATAAGCCCCTGAGTCTAACCAGTGTTTTGAGTTTTTCACTTATCTTATGTGTAGCCAGCACGCATGTAACATGAAAACATCAATTACATGTGTGTGCTTTTGCCTCTTGTTAATTTTTGTTGCTGTTGTTTTTTCAATTTAATTCACAGGCTCCAGCACAACATGTAAGATGGGATAGGAAAAGCTTTTTTCCTACCCAACAGAATGCTGAAAATGTAAATATTTTTTCTTTGGTTTACAGTAATAAGGAGTGTGATTCCTTTTTTTTTTCTACCTCTTCTACTTCTACGTTTTAAGAGCTCTGTAGCTTAGTGAGCTCCCAGGCTTATGAACACCGTGACACAACTAGTCTTGAAATGTTGCCAGCATTGTAGGATTTGCATACTTAACATGCTTATACTGCCATAAAGTATGTAAGGTGGAAAGGATATTGTCTTTTAGTGTGGGTACATAGAGCATGGCACGACTTGTTGCCAGCCTCACATCACATCTGTCTTCTGCTTTTATACTTTATATCCAGGGTCATGCAGTCAATTTTAGACATTTTAAAAAATCTTATTTCTATATTACTAAATTATTCATGGAGCCCGACTCTTCTAAGTTACTCTGGGAAAATGCCTTAGGCCTTCCAAGGACACAAAATTTTCATTCTTATAAAAAGCATTTGGCTAGGAATCAGAAGACCTACATTTTCATTCAAGAACTGGTACTAGTTTGTGTTGTGATTTTAGGCAGATCCATTATTGTCTCTAAGCCACAATGTCCTGAACTCCAAAACCATAGCATTGGCCTAGATGGTTTCTTAGGCCTCTCTTTGTGTCAGGAATTGGTGAGTTCTTGGTCTCACTGACTTCAAGAATGAAGCCACGGACCCTCGCAGTGAGCGTTACAGTTCTTAAAGGCGGTGTGTCCGGAGTTTGCTCCTTCCTCTTGTCTGGAGTTGCTCATTCCTCCTGGTGGGTTCGTGGTCTGGCTGGCTCAGGAATGAAGCTGTAGACCTTCGCGATGAGTGTTAGAGCTCATAAAGGCAGTGTGGACCCAAAGAGTGAGCAGAAACAAGATTTATTGCAAAGAGCAAAACAACAAAGCTTCCACAGTGCAGAAGGGGACCCTAGCAGGTTACCACTGCTGGCTCAGGCAGCCTACTTTTATTCCCTTATCTGGCCCCACCTACACCTTGCTGATTGGTCCATTTTACAGAGAGCTGATTTGTCTATTTTACAGAGAGCTGATTGGTCCGTTTTGACAGGGTGCTGATTGGTGCATTTACAATCCCTGAGCTAGACACAAAAGTTCTCCAAGTCCCCACTAGGTTAGCTAGACACAAAGCACTGATTGGTGCATTTACAAACCTTGAGCTAGACACAGGTTGCTGATTGGTACATCCACAATCCCTTAGGGAGACACAAAGATTCTCCAAGTCCCCACTAGACGCAGGAGAGGGTTTAGAAAGTGCAAAGGCCTTATACCTGGGAAAAAGGAAAGACAAAGGGGTGGAAGGAAAAGCAGTGGCTGAAGCACAGTGGCTCATGAAAGACGAGACTGGATAGAATAGGAGCAGGTCCTTGGGCCTGGAGGATATCTTCAGACATTTGTGCCTTATCCAAAGAGAAATGGCAAGACACGGACGATGTGAAAGCCAGGGGCTGTCCTCCAGACCATGAGACCTCAGCCAGCTGCCGCCCAGAGCCAAGTTGCTGCTTTGTGTGCAGCTCTCTCCAAGTGTGGAAGAGCAGATGGGGTGTTTTTACTTCCGCCCCAAAACTTACACATTTCACTAAAATATTCCTACTCCATGCTTAGCAATGAGAAACCTTCTCTATGCCATTCTTATCCTTTTGAAATGATACCAGATGCCAAGAAACACCACAGGAGTAGGGCAAAGAAGTTGAGCTTCAAGGGCAGATGTAGTCTAAGTGTCAGCTGTACCACAAATTGTGACAATAAGCACATCACCAGGCTTCTTATTTTACTCCCTCTTCCGTGCAATGAGGCAGCTTGACTCTGGGGCTGGAAATAGTTCTCTCCTCAAGGTGGAGGCAAACGGAGTATCGGACAAATTGATAATCCACACAATCCAAATTGTAATTAGTATAGTCTTTCTCTGGTTATTGAGACAAGTTTTTCACGTGAGCTTAGCTTCTGCTTAGCATTTTAACTGTGGGAGAGGGAAAAGTCCTTGAAAGTCCTGTGACTCATTGGTAAAATAAGAACGTACTAATGAAATATGAGAAACATCGAAATAAATTAAAAGACATTAAAAATCTATTGTGTATCCTGCACTCCAAAGTCATTTTTAAATGGTAATTACACCTTTGAAGAGCATCTAATTAGTATGAAAAGAACTTTGGATGAATGTGGAGCTCTTCATCTGACTTCAGTTGATACACAGTGATAATATTCAAGACCAATTTCTGCAGCTTTTATCGCCTGACTGAGCATTGCTCTGTTTCTGAAGTTTAAAGGGATTTTCTAATCTTTTGCTTATCAGAGGCTGAGCAAAGACCTGTCATGGTTTATGGAGGTAAAAGAGAGGAGGTACAAGTATTTTTAAGTGCCCTGTGGAAAGTGCTGTCAAGTCCAGGCTGTGTCAAGCTCATGCTTTGTGGTGAAACAGGGATCTAAGCCACAAACTCCTGAAAAGAAAGTTTCTAGTCCCTTTTTGTCTGGGTCATTCAGGAGCATCGAGACTGACACACCTGGTAAGACTCCTGTTCTTCATCCCTGTCATCAGTCACGTAACACTCTTAGTGCTCACTGTGTGCCTGGCTCCGTGTTAAGTGCTATTTCAGTGAAATGTTAGCACTGTAAAATGGTTTCAGAAAAAGGCATTTGTGGTCACTCTCAAGTAAATGCCCAAATGGTCTAACTAGCTTATTAAGCAGGAGCACTCATTAAAATCTATGAGATTTGCATAAAATGCACTCTGCAGCACTGCTCTCACAGACACAATGGCAACAGCCCTTTGAACTAAGGCCGTAAGTTTCCTTAATGGGTTACATCAAAATTTAATGGCCCAGAGCTGGGCCACTTAGGTTTACTACCTGGACAGATGTGTTGAATGCTGCTAATGGGAAGACTGTAAGGTACTGGCTGTATGATACCCTGCCTTTAAATTCTGTAATGGATACAGATGCCATTGGTTAACAGTTTTTATTTCTTCCTTAACAAAAAGGGTTTTATAATAAGCAAGTCAACGATTTTTCTTCGGCAAGGACTTCAAGTACATTTCTGACCTCATCTCCCACTCTCCCTCTGTCCTTTCCATGAACGCCACACTGGCCTCCTTGATGCTCCTCGAAAATGCCAAGCTCCTCGGGGCCACTGTATTTGTGCAGCCTCTCTTGGAACACTGTGTACATCTGGGCTCTTGGAGCAGCAAACACCGGAATGGTATTTGCCACTCAAGAGATTATTTGGGAGAAGTGCATGTGGAGGAAAATGAGAAGGGGCTGCAGGGGGCTGGGCAGGCAAAGTCTTAAAATGCAGTGCAATTCTGAGAAACTTTTGGCAAGGCTGGTAGTAGAACCCTCCAGCCCGGGCTGCCCAGCAGAGGAGTCTTTCATCTCCTCGCAGCAGGCCTGCCTTTATACTCCACCATGGTGGGTTACCGGCTGACAGTGGTAGATTTCAGGGCGGCAGCTGGCTGTTGGCCAGCCGCTAACAGTCACCAGCCCCTAGGGGCCACGAGATTTGACAAGCCCCTTCCCAGGGCCACCACGAGCTCTCTTGGTCTACAGTTCTCAGGACTGCTTCTCGTACGTTTAGCTTCTGTTAAATATCCCCTCTGTGGGGTCTGCCCTGTTCATCCCATGTAAACATATAAATAGCAACCCCTTCATTTCCCCTCACCTTCTACCCCATGTCAGTTACTGTTATCTGCTTTGTTTATTCATTGCATCAAGATACAACATACAGTCATCTGTCGATATTCATGAGAAATTGGATCCAGGACCTCCCCCAGATACCAGAATCCCTAGACGCTCAAGTCCCTGATATGCAGTTCTGTAGTATTCAGCGTAGACTATGCACATTCTCCCTATACTTTAAATCATCTCTAGATTACTGGTAACACCTACTACAATGTAAATGCTATGCAAATCGTTGTTACGCTGTGTCATTTAGAGAATAATAAAAAGAAAAACTTTGTATATGTTCAATACAGTTTAAAGGGCTTTTTTTGCAAATATTTTTGACTCGTGGTTGCTTGAATCAGCACATGCACAAATCACAGATACAAAGGACTAACTGTATGTTTCCTTGTTGATGTCACGTGACCTCGCTTTAGTAACAGATAGAAGGACTGTGTTTCCTTGTTGATGTCGCGTGAGCTCCCTTTAGTAACAGATAGAAGGACTGTGTTTCCTTCCTGATGTCACGTGAGCTCCCTTTAGTAACAGACAGAAGGACTAAGTGTGTTTACTTGCTGATGTCACGTGAGCTCCCTTTAGTAACAGATAGAAGGACTGTGTTTCCTTGTTGATGTCGCGTGAGCTCCCTTTAGTAACAGACAGAAGGACTGTGTTTCCTTGCTGATGTCACGTGAGCTCCCTTTAGTAACAGATAGAAGGACTGTGTTTCCTTGCTGATGTCACGTGAGCTACCTTTAGTAACAGATAGAAGGACTGTGTTTTCTTGCTGATGTCACGTGAGCTCCCTTTAGTAACAGATAGAAGGACTAAGTGTGTTTCCTTGTTCATGTCACGTGAGCCCCCTTTAGTAACAGATAGAAGGACTGTGTTTCCTTGTTGATATCGCGTGAGCTCGCTTTAGTAACAGATAGAAGGACTAAGTGTGTTTCCTTGTTGATGTCACATGAGCTCGCTTTAGTAACAGATAGGACTAAGTGTGTTTCCTTGTTGATGTCACATGAGCCCCCTTTAGTAACAGATAGAAGGACTGTGTTTCCTTGCTGATGTCGCGTGAGCTCGCTTTAGTAACAGATAGAAGGACTAAGTGTGTTTCCTTGTTGATATCACGTGAGTTCGCGTTAGTAACAGATAGAAGGACTGTGTTTCCTTGTTGATGTCGCATGAGCTCGCTTTAGTAACAGAAGGACTAAGTGTGTATCCTTGTTGATGTCACGTGAGCCCCCTTTAGTAACAGATAGAAGGACTGTGTTTCCTTGTTGATGTCGCGTGAGCTCACTTTAGTAACAGATAGAAGGACTAAGTGTGTTTCCTTGTTGATGTCACATGAGCTCGCTTTAGTAACAGATAGAAGGACTAAGTGTGTTTCCTTGTTGATGTCACGTGAGCCCCCTTTAGTAACAGAAAGAAGGACTGTGTTTCCTTGTTGATGTCGCGTGAGCTCGATTTAGTAACAGATAGAAGGACTAAGTGTGTTTCCTTGTTGATGTCACGTGAGCTCGCTTTAGTAACAGATAGAAGGTCTAAGTGTGTTTCCTTGTTGATGTCATGTGAGCTCGCTTTAGTAACAGATAGAAGGACTAAGTGTGATTCCTTGTTGATGTCACGTGAGCTCGCTTTAGTAAAAGATAGAAGGACTAACTGTGTTTCCTTGTTTATGCCACGTGAGCTCCCTTTAGTAACAGATAAGACTGTGTTTCCTTGTCGATGTCGCATGAGCTCGCTTTAGTAACAGATACAAGGACTAACTGTGTTTCCCTGTTGATGTCGCGTGAGCTCGCTTTAGTAAGAGATAGAAGGACTAAGTGTGTTTCCTTGTTGATGTCGCGTGAGCTCGCTTTAGTAACAGATAGAAGGACTAACTGTGTTTCCTTGTTGATGCCACGTGAGCTCCCTTTAGTAACAGATAGAAGGACTAAGTGTGTTTCCTTGTTGATGCCACGTGAGCCCCCTTTAGTAACAGATAGAAGGACTCTGTTTCCTTGTTGATGTCATGTGAGCTTGCTTTAGTAACAGATAGAAGGACTAACTGTGTTTCCTTGTTGAAGTCACGTGAGCCCCCTTTAGTAACAGATAGAAGGACTAAGTCTATTTCCTTGTTGATGTCACGTGAGCTCACTTTAGTAACAGATAAGACTGTGTTTCCTTGCTGAGGTCACGTGAACTCCCTTTAGTAACAGATAGAAGGACTAAGTGTGTTTCCTTGTTGATGTCACATGAGCTCGCTTTAGTAACAGATAGGACTAAGTGTGTTTCCTTGTTGATGTCACATGAGCCCCCTTTAGTAACAGATAGAAGGACTGTGTTTCCTTGTTGATGTCACATGAGCTCACTTTAGTAACAGATAGAAGGACTAAGTGTGTTTCCTTGTTGATGTCACGTGAGCTCGCTTTAGTAACAGATAGAAGGACTGTGTTTCCTTGTTGATGTCGCATGAGCTCGCTTTAGTAACAGATAGCAGGACTAAGTGTGTTTCCTTGTTCATGTCACGTGAGCCCCCTTTAGTAACAGATAGAAGGACTGTGTTTCCTTGTTGATGTCGCGTGAGCTCGCATTAGTAACAGATAGAAGGACTAAGTGTGTTTCCTTGTTGATGTCACATGAGCTCGCTTTAGTAACAGATAGAAGAACTAAGTGTGTTTCCTTGTTGATGTCACATGAGCCCCCTTTAGTAACAGATAGAAGGACTGTGTTTCCTTGCTGATGTCGCGTGAGCTCGCTTTAGTAACAGATAGAAGGACTAAGTGTGTTTCCTTGTTGATATCACGTGAGTTCGCGTTAGTAACAGATAGAAGGACTGTGTTTCCTTGTTGATGTCGCATGAGCTCGCTTTAGTAACAGATAGAAGGACTAAGTGTGTATCCTTGTTGATGTCACGTGAGCCCCCTTTAGTAACAGATAGAAGGACTGTGTTTCCTTGTTGATGTCGCGTGAGCTCACTTTAGTAACAGATAGAAGGACTAAGTGTGTTTCCTTGTTGATGTCACATGAGCTCGCTTTAGTAACAGATAGAAGGTCTAAGTGTGTTTCCTTGTTGATGTCACGTGAGCCCCCTTTAGTAACAGGAAGAAGGACTGTGTTTCCTTGTTGATGTCGCGTGAGCTCGATTTAGTAACAGATAGAAGGACTAAGTGTGTTTCCTTGTTGATGTCACGTGAGCTCGCTTTAGTAACAGATAGAAGGTCTAAGTGTGTTTCCTTGTTGATGTCACGTGAGCTCGCTTTAGTAAAAGATAGAAGGACTAACTGTGTTTCCTTGGTGATGCCACGTGAGCTCCCTTTAGTAACAGATAAGACTGTGTTTCCTTGTCAATGTCGCATGAGCTCGCTTTAGTAACAGATACAAGGACTAACTGTGTTTCCCTGTTGATGTCGCGTGAGCTCGCTTTAGTAACAGATAGAAGGACTAAGTGTGTTTCCTTGTTGATGTCGCGTGAGCTCGCTTTAGTAACAGATAGAAGGACTAACTGTGTTTCCTTGTTGATGCCACGTGAGCTCCCTTTAGTAACAGATAGAAGGACTAAGTGTGTTTCCTTGTTGATGTCGCGTGAGCTCGCTTTAGTAACAGATAGAAGGACTAACTGTGTTTCCTTGTTGATGCCACGTGAGCCCCCTTTAGTAACAGATAGAAGGACTGTGTTTCCTTGTTGATGTCATGTGAGCTCGCTTTAGTAACAGATAGAAGGACTAACTGTGTTTCCTTGTTGAAGTCACGTGAGCCCCCTTTAGCAACAGATAGAAGGACTAAGTCTATTTCCTTGTTGATGTCATGTGAGCTCACTTTAGTAACAGATAAGACTGTGTTTCCTTGCTGAGGTCACGTGAACTCCCTTTAGTAACAGATAGAAGGACTGAGTGTGTTTCCTTGTTGATGTCGCGTGAGCTCCCTTTAGTAACAGATAGAAGGACTAAGTGTGTTTCCTTGTTGATGTCATGTGAGCTCGCTTTAGTAACAGATAGAAGGACTAAGTGTGTTTCCTTGCTGATGTCACGTGAGCTCGCTTTAGTAACAGATAGAAGGACTAAATGTGTTTCCTTGTTGATGTCACGTGAGCTCCCTTTAGCAACAGATAGAAGGACTAACTGTGTGTTTCATTGTTGATGTCACATGAGCTCCCTTTAGTAACAGAGGGAGTAAGTGTGTGTTTCCTTGTTGATGTCATGAGCTCGCTTGAGTAACAGATACAAAGGACTAAGTGTGTATTTTCTTGTTGATGTCAGGTGAGCTTGCTTTAGTACCAGATAGAAGGACTAACTGTGTTTCCTTGTTGATGTTACGTGAGCTCCCTTTAGTAACAGATACAAGGACTGTGTTTCCTTGTTGATGTCACGTGAGCTCGCTTTAGTAACAGATAGAAGGACTAAGTGTGTTTCCTTTTTGATGTCACGTGAGCCCGCTTTAGTAACAGAGAGAAGGACTAACTGTGTTTCCTTGTTGATGTCACGTGAGCTCGCTTTACTAACAGATAGAAGGACTAAGTGTGTTTCCTTGTTGATGTCGCATGAGCTCGCTTTAGTAACAGATAGAAGGACTAAGTGTGTTTCCTTGTTGATGTCACGTCAGCCCCCTTTCGTAACAGATAGAAGGACTAAGTGTGTTTCCTTGTTGATGTCACGTGAGCTCCCTTTAGTAGCAGATAGAAGGACTAACTGTGTTTCCTTGTTGATGTTGCCTGAGCTCCCTTTAGTAACAGATAGAAGGACTATGTTTCCTTGTTGATGTCGCGTGAGCTCGCTTTAGTAACAGATAGAAGGACTACCTGTGTTTCCTTGTTGATGCCACGTGAGCTCCCTTTACTAACAGATAGAAGGACTAAGTGTGTTTCCTTGTTGATACCGCGTGAGCTCCCTTTAGTAACAGATAGAAGGACTAACTGTGTTTCCTTCTTGATGTCACGTGAGCACCCTTTATTAACAGATAGAAGGACTAACTTTGTTTCCTTGTTGATGTTGCGTGAGCTCCCTTTAGTAACAGATAGAAGGATTGTGCTTCCTTTTTGATGTCGCGTGAGCTCGCTTTAGTAACAGATAGAAGGACTAAGTGTGTTTCCTTGCTGATGTCACGTGAGCTCCCTTTAGTAACAGATAGAAGGACTAAGTGTGTTTCCTTGTTGATGCCGCGTGAGCTCCCTTCAGTAACAGATAGAAGGACTAAGTGTGTTTCCTTGTTGATGTCACGTGAGCCCCCTTTAGTAACAGATAGAAGGACTAACTGTGTTTCCTTGTTGATGTTGCCTGAGCCCCCTTTAGTAACAGATAGAAGGACTATGTTTCCTTGTTGATGTCGGGTGAGCTCGTTTTAGTAACAGATAGAAGGACTAAGTGTGTTTCCTTGCTGATGTCACGTGAGCTCACTTTAGTAACGGATAGAAGGACTAAGTTTGTTTCCTTGTTGATGTCACGTGAGCTCCCTTTAGTAACAGATAGAAGGACTGTGTTTCCTTGTTGATGTCACGTGAGCTCCCTTTAGTAACAGATAGAAGGACTAAGTGTGTTTCATTTTTGATGTCACGTGAGCTCCCTTTAGTAACAGATAGGACTGTGTTTCCTTGCTGATGTCACGTGAGCTCCGTTTAGTAATAGATAGAAGGACTGTGTTTCCTTGCTGATGTCACGTGAGCTCCCTTTAGTAACAGATGGAAGGACTAAGTGTGTTTCCTTGTTGATGTCACTTGAGCTCCCTTTAGTAACAGATAGAAGGACTAACTGTGTTTCCTTGTTGATGTCTCGTGAGCTCCCTTTAGTAACAGATAGAAGGACTAACTGTGTTTCCTTGCTGATGTCACGTGAACTCCCTTTAGTAACAGATAGAAGGACTAAGTGTGTTTCCTTGTTGATGTCATGTGAGCTCGCTTTAGTAACAGATAGAAGGACTGTGTTTCCTTGTTGATGTCGCGTGAGCTCCCTTTAGTAACAGATAGAAGGGCTGTGTTTCCTTGCTGATGTCATGTGAACTCCCTTTAGTAACAGATAGAAGGACTAAGTGTGTTTCCTGGCTGATGTCACGTGAGCTCCCTTTAGTAACAGATAGAAGGACTGATTGTGTTTCCTTGTTGATGTCGCGTGGGCTCCCTTTAATAACAGATAGAAGGACAAACTGTGTTTCCTTGTTGATGTCACATGAGCTCCCTTTAGCAACAGATAGAAGGACTAACTGTGTGTTTCCTTGTTGATGTCACATGAGCTCCCTTTAGTAACAGAAGGAGTAAGTGTGTGTTTCCTTGTTGATGTCATGAGCTCGCTTGAGTAACAGATACAAAGGACTAAGTGTGTATTTTCTTGTTGTTGTCAGGTGAGCTTGCTTAGTAACAGATAGAAGGACTAACTGTGTTTCCTTGTTGATGTCACATGAGCTCACTTTAGTAACGGATAGAAGGACTAAGTTTGTTTCCTTGTTGATGTCACGTGAGCTCCCTTTAGTAACAGATAGAAGGACTGTGTTTCCTTGTTGATGTCGCGTGAGCTCCCTTTAGTAACAGATAGAAGGACTAAGTGTGTTTCGTTTTTGATGTCACGTGAGCTCCCTTTAGTAACAGATAGTACTGTGTTTCCTTGCTGATGTCACGTGAGCTCCGTTTAGTAATAGATAGAAGGACTGTGTTTCCTTGCTGATGTCACATGAGCTCCCTGTAGTAACAGATGGAAGGACTAAGTGTGTTTCCTTGTTGATGTCACGTGAGCTCCCTTTAGTAACAGATAGAAGGACTAACTGTGTTTCCTTGTTGATGTCTCGTGAGCTCCCTTTAGTAACAGATAGAAGGACTAACTGTGTTTCCTTGTTGATGTCGCGTGAGCTCGCTTTAGTAACAGATAAGACTGTGTTTCCTTGCTGATGTCACGTGAACTCCCTTTAGTAACAGATAGAAGGACTAAGTGTGTTTCCTTGTTGATGTCACGTGAGCTCGCTTTAGTAACAGATAGAAGGACTAAGTGTGTGTTTCCTTGTTGGTGCCACGTGAGCTCCCTTTAGTAACAGATAGAAGGACTAAGTGTGTATATATCAATGTATTAGCATAATATATTTATATTATGTATTAACATACAATATTATTTTATTATATGTTACATAACTAATTAACATGATTAAATAAATGCTGTGACTTTACCTGTATATCGAATTATCTAGACTCCTAGAAATATGGTTGCAGGATGAAGACTTTACCCTTGCTGAAATTTCTGTGCCTCTCCTCCCTGCTTCCAGAAAGGCAGTGTTGGAAAATGCCTGTCTCAATGCACACTCAACAGCACTGTTTTTTGTTTGTCTGTCGTTTTTTTGAGATGGAGCCTCATTCTGTTGCCCAGGCTGGAGTACAGCGGCCTGATCTCAGCTCACTGCAACTTCTGCCTCCCAGGTTCAAGCGATTCTCCTGCCTCAGCCTCCCAAGTAGTTGGGATCACAGGCGTGCACCATCATGCCCAGCTAATTTTTGTATTTTTAGTAGAGATGTGGTTTCACCATGTTGGCCAGGCTGGTCTCAAACTCCTGACCTCAGGTGATCCACCCGCTTTGGCCTCCCAAAGTGCTGGAATTACAGGCGTGAGCCACCGCACCTGGCCAGCAGCACAGTTTTTTAATCTCTATCATTTTGATATTTAAATATATTTGTATCTTGTCAATTTATTTGCACTTTTTATTATTTGTATTTATAATAGCTTTGTTGAGGTAAAATCAATATAAAAAACTACACATATTTAGTGTACAATTTGATAAGTTTGGACATATGCATACACTGATGAAACCATCATTAAAATCAAGATTCATTATTCATGCTTTTGAACCTAGGTTTCATTTTTTATCTACTTACTGTTTCTTTTGTAGTAAACTGTCCAGTACTTGACCAGTTTTTCTATAGAAAGGGCAGTGTTTTATATGGGAGGGGTAGCTTACATCTGTAATCCCAGCACTTTGGGAGGCCAAGGCAGGTGGATCACCAGGTCAAGAGATTGAGACCAGCCTGGCCAACATGGTGAAACCCCGTCTCTACTAAAAATACAAAAATTAGCCAGGCGTGGTGGCGGGCGCTTGTAATCCCAGCTACTTGGGAGGCTGAGGCAGGAGAATTGCTTGAATCCGGGAGGTGGAGATTGCAGTGAGCCGAGATCGCGCCACTGCACTCCAGCCTGGGCGACAGAGCGAGACTCTGTCTCAAAAAAGGGCAGTGTTTTTATTAATGATTTCATGGTGTCAATTATACAGCTATATAGATACACACATGTGTTTGTGTATATAGTGAGTTGAATTGTCTCCCCTCAAATGATATATCCATCCGGAACCTGTGACTATGGCCTTATTTGCAAAACAAACAAACAAACAAACAAAGTCTTGCCAATGTTATAAAATTAAGGGTTTTGAAATGAGGTTATCTTGGATTATCCATGTGGTCCCTAAATCCAATAAGTGTCCTTATAAGACAAAGACAGACAAAGATTTGACACACACAGATGCACAGAGAAGGCCATGTGAAGACAGAGGCAGAGATTGGAGTGTTGCTGTCACAAACTACGGGACACTTGAAGCCACCAGAAGCTGGAGACGAGGAAGGGGCCTCCGTAGGGCCTCCAGAGGGAACACAGCCCTGCCAACACCTTGAGTTCAGACTTGGAGCTTCCGTGGCTGTGACTCTGTGAGAGAACCATTTCCAAATGTTTTGAGCCACCGAGCTTATGGCGCTTTGTTCCTGCAGCCCTAGGAAACTCTGTGAGTGAAGGTAATTGTGTGTTTCTGTATCTATCAGACTAGTCAACGTCAATGTGACTCAGTGTAATTTAACTTCACCGCCTCACATCCTTGCTGTCTGACCTAAAGATTAAAAATTCTCTCAGAACTTCTCTAGCTCTTGCTTCTATGTGGTAACTGCATTGAATTTTTTAGTACATCCCAAAAATTGAAAGATACATGGTAAGCCATGTATCTTTCCTGCCTGCCAGTTTGTCATTTTTCACATAATAAAGCAAGGTCACTCAAAGGTATTTTTTTCTTGTCTCGCTACTTGACACATTCAACCATGTTTATAAGCTCAAAGAAAAGAGATGGCCAGTTTGCTAAAATGAAAATATCATTCAATCCTGAAGATTTCATTCTTCCATAAAAATTGTCCTATGTAAAGATGACTAAGTATGATTTCAGGCATCACCTTTCATACAAGTCTTCTTCCCTAAGACCTATCCACTGCTCTTCTCCACTGTGGTTTTAATATTTTAATGTTTCCATAGCACTAGATTATGAGATCCATGAAATCAAGTATTGTGCCTCCCTGAGTCTCCAGGGTGCAGCCCTGGCCTTGGGACATAACCACTGCTTAGTAAGTGCTTATAAGATAAATCCTCAAAACCTTGAAATGAATTAAGTGCTTGTCCATTAAAACATCCCCCTACGTTGGGGGACTAAATTCAGACTACTATATAGTTAGGAAGAGCACAAATGCAAATACATGGGGTCATAGGTAATTTGTTTCTTCAAAGACCATGTAGACTTCTCTTTGGCAATTGCAAGGGAAATTCTATCAATCATAGTCCACACATGGATATAAGCCATAAGTAACTCTTTTCCATGCTTGCTTAGCACAAAGCCTTATATACTCTAGATTTGGGGTTATGTTTTTTTTTTACAGTAATATATGTAAAGCAATGTCACAAACCTGAGCACCTCACGCATGCAATTTAAACACTGGAAACCAACTATGTGGAGAGTATAGCAATGGTTTGACTCTGAGGTAAGAAGCACGGTGAAAGAACTGGAAATAAACCCTGCATCTGAGCTTTATGAAGAAGCGATTATAATCAATACCAAAATGAAAAAAAGAAACATCAACAGCTACTGTGAACCAAGGTCTTCACAGTTTTGCTTCTTTCCACTAATCTTCCGAAGAGGTTATTTTGAGACGATATGTTCAAAACACTATAAGCCATTCTTCTCCAAGAAGTGGTGACAATTACTTTGCTTCTTGCTTCCCACTCCTAAAAGGGAAATTTAATCAAGATTGTCAGTTCTTACAAGAAAAAGGGAAAACGCACACACACATTCAAGCTCTACTTCTATAATCAAATAAAACCATCAAGAATTAATCAAAACTTGACTCGAAGCCCTTCCAGAACTGCAAAGCTCACATGGCATCCCAGAGATAGATGATACCATGATCTTTGATGTACACAGTGGAGCATTTGATAAAATGGTGATGTTTTTCTGCCATAAGTGGTATAATTACGCTATGCATCATATGCATCCATTTAATAATATCCCTGTTCACAGTCAGCCAGGCATTTCTCACAAGCTGGCATCTTCACAGGCCACTTGTTCTGCTGATTCCACTTTCTTCTGTAGCTGGGCAGGCTGCAGCCCCTGTTTTTTCCCTTACCAGGCAAACTAATGATCTAGTGCTTTCTTGCGTGTTGAGGTTAATAGATAACTAATATATTTCAGCACATTCATTATAGCCAGTTTTCCCCTAAGAAAAAATTGCACATTTGGGTCTTCTGCCTTGACAAATGTGGTGCTTCATCTTGAAAGTTGATTAAAATCAATACCTCTGTAGAAAATTACACGCAAAATGTATTAGTATCCAGTATATTCTGATAAGAATGCTTCTCATTCATAACTCTGATACCAACCCGCCCACCGCAAACAAAACAAAACAAAACAAAACAAAACAAAAAATAAAAGAAACACACACACACATGCTAAAACTGGATGCAAGCACTCATGGGAATAACAGTGTGTTTTTAACCAACAATAAAACTAAAAATTACTCATCAGTTAAACCATGGCTCATAATTTAGGAGAAGTTACATTTTGAAGTCCTGTTTTATCTCCAATTGAAATTTCAGAAGCCTCCAGAAATTCTATGGTATAAACTTTGCAATTTTAAAAATACATCATTTCAAAGCCAGCGGTCTGGAAGAAAATTGCCTATGCTAATGAACAAATATATAATTTTCACTAAACCATACAGCACACTTTCTTACATCAACTTTTTTCATCTCATCTCCTGATTCTCTCCCACAACCCATGTGTTAACCACACTTACCTTTTA
The DNA here is from genome assembly GCF_000001405.40 of Homo sapiens. Lineage (NCBI taxonomy): Eukaryota > Metazoa > Chordata > Mammalia > Primates > Hominidae > Homo > Homo sapiens. Next base: position 24,502 of record NT_187510.1, read on the forward strand.
ACTTTTCTCCTAAAATATTAAGCCTTTTCCAAACAGTTTTGCTAGACAAAAATCCCTATTCATCTTTCAAGGTCTAGCTCAAGTGTTGCATAACTGTTGTTCAAGTTACTGAGGCTGTGTAACAAACAACCTCAAGACTCAGGTGCCTAGAACAAGCCCAGATTCTATCAGTCAGAGACTTGGACAGGACACAGCAGAAATGCTTGTATCCGCTCTGTCATGTGTGGCATTTCAGATGCAAAGATCCAAAGGCTGGAGGTGACCCAAAGGCTGTTGGTTGGAATCAACTGGAAACATCATTACTCACATGTCTGGTGGTTGATACTGGTTGTAGGCTGGGACCTCAGCTGGGGTTCTGATTTGAGAACCTTCATGTGGCCTCTCCATGTGGTCGGGCTTCCTCACAGTACGGGGGTCTTCGGGTATTCAGATTTTATACATGGTGGCTCGGGGCTCCTCAGTAAGTGAAGCAGATGCCACATGATCTTGTAAGAAAGGAAAACTTTTCCTCCATCCTCTTAGGTTCTGCAGCTTAATTTGTGAATTAAACTGACAAAAGAAGGACCAACGAATGAAGAGCATACAAATTTTATTTGTTGTTAATATTTTTATATGCATGGGAACTGCAGAGAAAGAACTAAAAAAATCCAAAGAAGTGGTTACACTTAGGAGCTTACCTACCATTTTAACAAAGTACGATAAATTGTGGGGAAGCAACCAAAGAAAAGGGGCTTGGGCTTCTAGGGGCATTAAATTGTAGGAAGGTAAATACATGGGAGAAACTATTATAGAAAAGGGTTATTTAGTTAGGTTTCTTTATGTAGAGTAATCTTGATGCTGTCTCCTCTTCTTGGTATGAGAACAAGGGGACACCTTTATAATGGAAATTTATTCCTTGCTTTTAAGCAGATAGAGGAAGGGTAAACAGCTCTTCTCGCATCTTCTTTTTCTCAATTGCCTTCAGCTTAAAATAAAAATTAAAAATTTAAAAAATAAAATTTATGCAAAAGTAACATATATTAGGGTTGTATATTCTGATACTCTTCAACATTTTCTGGTCTAGCCTCCAGAGTCATTCAACATCAACATCACTTTCTCTACATTCTGTTGGTTATAAATAAGTCAAAGGACAAATAAGACAAAAAAGTATTTGTATTGTTAATACTGAGAGGTGACAACGTGCTAGCAGCCCTCACTGGCTCTCAGCAACTGCTCTGGCGGTGCTCCAGGAGCCCTTCAGCCCACCGCTGTGCTGTGGGGGCCCTTCTCTGGGGCTGGCGGAGGCCCGGCGGCTCCCTCTGCTCCCCACCAGGTGTGGAGGGAGAGGTGCAGGTGGGAGCGGGGCTGTGCATGCTCACGGGCCAGTGCTGGTTCCGGGTGGGTGCAGGCTCAGGAGCCCACACTCGGTGTGGCCGGCCGGTGCCTACTGGGCTGCCCCCTCTGGGCTGCCGGAATACCCAGGCTAGGTGCCGCAAAGCCTCAGGGCAAGTGTCATTGAGAGGTGAAGCCAGCTGGGCTTCTGTGTCGGGTGGGGACTTGGAGAACTTTTCTGTTTAGCTAGAGGTTTGTAACCGCATCAATCAGCGCTCCGTGTCTAGCTAATCTGGTGGGGACTTGGAGAACTTTCCTGTCTAGCTAAAGGATTGTAAATGCACCAATCAGCGCTCTGTGTCTAGCGAAAGGTTTGTAAATGCACCAATCAGCGCTCTGTCAAAATGGACCAATCAGCTATCTGTAAAACGGCCCAATCAGCTTTCTGTAAAATGGACCAATCAGCTCTCTCTAAAATGAGCCAATGAGAGGATGTGGGTGGGGCCAGATAAGGGAATAAAAGCAGGCTGCCCGAGCTAGCAGTGGCAACCGGCTAGGGTCCTCTTCCAGATTGTGGAAGCTTTGTTCTTTTGCCTTTGGCAATAAATCCTGCTGCTGCTCACTCTTTGGGTCTGCACCGTCTTTGGCAGCTGCTGCTCACTCTTTGGGTCTGCGCTATCTTTATGAGCTGTAACACCGTGAAGGTCTGCAGCTTCATTCCTGAAGCCAGTTAGACCACAAACCCACCAGAAGGAAGAAACTCTGGACCCATCTGAACATCTGAATGAACAAACTCTGGACACACCATCTTTAGGAACTGTAACACTCACCGCAAGCGTCCGTGGCTTCATTCTTGAAGTCAGTTAGACCAAGAACCCACCAATTCCGGACACAATACTATTGGATGTATGTTTGTTTGGTGTTTTCTTTGGTGAGTGAGTTTGTTTGTTTGTAACTGCTAAAAGAGTAGAGAGGAATGAGAGGGGGTTGAACTGCAACATCACAGAACACCTTAAGATGTAAGATTTAGGGTGTCTAATAGGCCATCTTAATTTGTTTGTGTTGCAACTGTCCCCGATATGGGAGTATTGAGAGGGGCATCCTTTAAGTGGTGATTGGATCACAGGGGTTATCCCCTTATGAATCAATCTACTCATGGATTAAAGAACTAATGGGTTAATGGATAAATGGGTTATCATGGGAGAGGAACTGGTGGCCTTATAAGAAGAAGAGAGATCTGAGCTAACACGCTAGCATTCTCGGCCTCCTTGCCATGTGGTTCTCTGAACCACCTTAGGGCTTTTCTGATTTCCCATCAGCAAGAAGGCCCTCACCAGCTGCAGACCCCCATCCTTGGATTTCTGAGCCTTCATAACTCTAAGAAATTAGCTTTTTAAAAATAAGTCACCTAGTTTCAGGTATTCTGTTATAAGCAACAGAAAAATGGACAAAGTATGTCTTAAGTAAATCTCACAATTGCCTGTACGGTAGATATAAATAAATATTATTACTCCTATTTTACAGAAGGCAGAATCAGAGAGGCTCAGCAAATGCCAGAACTCAAATTCAAGCGCAACTCTGCCTGATGGAAACTCAGGTGATTTCCACTCTGCCTCCACCTGCATTCCTCAGCACCCTGCAGTTGGTCCCCAGACTCTATGCTCCATGCTGCTTGTGTTTGTTGGTTGGCTGGTTTCGTGTTCATGTGTTCTGGCTTCTTCATTTTGGGTCTTTACATCTTTACATCTCTATAGCAGTTCTTCCCATGTTGTGTAGCAGTTGTCTCTACGTGACAGTCTGTCTTGTGAGGTCGAGCTCCCTGAAGGCAGCAAGCATGTAATTGGTAAATTCTCATCAGTTAGCCATGTCTGGAACATGGTAGGTATTCAATAAAGGTTTTTGCTCATTTAATCAACTGTTCATTAGCATTTACTGAACCCCTACTGTGTGTCCAACACCGTAGCAGGCACTGAGGATGGAGCGGTGGAGAAAAACAGGCAACACACTCTGCACTCCATCTAGTGTGCAGAAAACATGCAAATAGTCATATACACCAAAACACTTCACACAACACAGACACTGCTGTAACATGCAAATAGTCACATAAACAAAACACTTCACACAGCAGACTGACACACTGCTGTAACATGCAAATAGTCATATACACATGAAAACACTTCACACAGCACCCTGACACCCTGCTATAACATGCAAATAGTCATATACACATGAAAACACTTCACACAGCACAGCGACACATGGCTATAACACGCAAATAGTCATATACACATGAAAACACACAGCACACTGACACGCTGCTATAACAAATAGTCATATACACAAAAACACTTCACACAGCACACTGACACGCTATTACACGTAGATAGATACACGAAAACACTTCACACAGCACACTGACACTGCTGTAACATGCAAATAGTCATATACACATGAAAATACTTCACACAGCACCCTGACACCCTGCTATAACATGCAAATAGTCATATACACATGAAAGCACACTGACACCCTGCTATAACATGCAAATAGTCATATACACATGAAAACACTTCACACAGCACACTGACACACTGCTATAACATGCAAATAGTCATATACACATGAAAACACTTCACACAGCACAGCGACACATGGCTATAACATGCAAATAGTCATATACACATGAAAACACTTCACACAGCACACTGACACGCTGCTATAACAAATAGTCATATACACAAAAACACTTCACACAGCACACTGACACGCTATTACACGTAGATAGATACACGAAAACACTTCACACAGCACACTGACACACTGCTGTAACATGCAAGTAGTCATATACACAAAAACACTTCACACAGCACACCGACACACGGCTATGTCAGAAAGGCGTGCAGTACTCTGTGAGTGTAGGATGGTGTCGAGAGTCAGGAAAGAGTTGTGAAGAAAAGGGTATGTGAGTGAGGGGTCAAGGCCGAGCATCTAGGTGGAAAGTCCCGGCAGAGGGAGCCGTGCAAGCATCCCCTCAGGCAGCAGGGACGTGGCACGACTGGGGGACCGGTGGCCCGAGGGCAGAGGCAGAGCCGGGAGTGTGCGAGGTGAGCATGGAGAGGAAGCCACTACACCCCAGAAAAAGGCACTCCTCCCACGAACAGGAGAGTCCACAGAGATTTCTGCAAAGGGAGAAGCCATGAGTGCTCGTTCAGTGCCTACAGTGTTTGGGGCAGCTGTGCATTTTCTTCACAAATTCATTCTTTAAGAAACACTGCTCCATGCGTTATACGAGACAGAAAATCCCGGTTAATACTAACAGATCCTTAGCTCGGGATTGTCCGGAGCAGGCACGCTGTCGGCAGGGGCTGCTCTGGGGTCTGTGGTGTCAGGGGCTCCCCAGAAGCTGCAGCGCAGAAATGGGGGAGGCTGAGAGCGACTCAGGCCTCTCTGCAAATGAAGCTGAGGGGAGATACCTTTCCGATCATGCTGGTGATGAAACTCGCAGACACAAGTGACTAACCAATTGATAAGTATTGCTCACTACTCGCAGAAAATATAGATTTTTTTCTTAAAAATCATAGACAAAACACAGTTAAATAATTTAATGGTTATACCTTTCCTGACATACTATGTAACCTTGGCTTATATGCCTGGCTTAGAGATGTTTTCCAAAGTTGTGGTGTAATAAAAACATTTAAATAGTGAGTATTCCGGTGGTATTTTTGAAATGGCAGTTACCAGCAAATAAACGTCTGTTTGGACGTGGTAACAGGGAAACTACTCTGCATCCGTTCACCCCTCTCAACAGTTGATTCTCCTGCAGCACAGAAGACTTTCTTTATTTATGAAGCAAACGTCTTCTTCACTCCCAGGACTTCACCACTGGTAGGCCACCCTAGCCTGTCTCTAATCATCACTTCATCGTCTTTCACAACCTGCATTTTCCCTACCCCTGATTTCTCATTCTGTTATTGACCTCTTGCACATTCCCCCTCTGGTGTGAATTACTTTTGCCGACTAAACTCAGGCATGGTACCAAAACTATAATTTGAGCTCACCCCCATGGTCGCAACCTCAGGCTGATCGCATGACCTAATCTCAGCAGAATCCTCCCAGCTCAGGGACCGCACTCTCAGACGGCAAGGCCAGTGATCCCTCAAATTCATCCCACGCAGGTGAAGACAGCTCTTCCCTCAGAAGACGCAGGTTGCAGCTAGCTTGAGGAGAGATCAATTCTTCCCATGCAAAGGCACGAATATCCTGTGGCTAAAGTGTATTGGAATTTCCCTCTGATTAAGTATGTTTATAATTCCATCTGCAAAAACCAGCAGTAAGCTGAACTGGAAAGCATTACCTGAGATTATATTTCCATTTTGCCCCATTAAAAAAGACTAGAATTTAATTTTATCTCAGCACAGATGCTTAAATCGAATGCGTACTTCCTTAGGAATGAAGAAATAGCAATGTATGTAAGGATAAGTAAGTCAGAATGAGAGAAAAAAACAGTTTTTAAAAAAAGTACAGGTGACTAAAGCAGCATAGGGCTAAGTAGGTTTAAAGGATGAAGACATTAATAAAGAGCTTCCTGCAGGGTTATCAACAGAAATACTTTTTCATAGAAATTAGTGGGGTTTACACACTGCATGTTCTCAGTTATAGGTGGGAGCTCCAAGCTATGCATTGAGCACACATGGACGTACACATGGGAACAACAGGCGCTGTGGACTGCGCGGGGCAAAGAAGGGAGGGGCATGCATTGAAAAACTAGCCAGGGGTACGATACTCACTAGCTGGGTGTAATACACCCATGTAACACACCTGCATGTGAACCCCCATATCTAAAATAAGAGCTGAAACTTTCAAAGAGGAGCAGTTACTTTGACTGACTTTTATTAGTAGTTGTAACTCTTTTCTTTTCCTGGAAACCTGAGTCCTAAATTGGAAGGTAGTAGCCACAGGGTACCGTAGTTCAGACAGTTTTTGAAGATAAGCAATTAAAATAGATCAGGGAATGGCTCCTTTTCAAACTTGTGAGCTAAGAATCCAGAAAGCAGGTTGTTCCAAGACGATGCTGTGAAAGAAAAAATTGGCCTTTCACTGGGGACAGGGTTCTTTCCAACCTTATGTCTGGCTCTTGTACTTTCTCTTTCATCTCCTTTGTGACCCCATGGACTCTCAAATTGAAATGAATTAAATTTATTCACATTAAGGCATTAAACTACTAATGGCTTCATGTGTTCTGTCTTCCACTGGTGTTTGTATTTGATAGAAAATAATGCCCTAAAAAATGAATGGTTTAGGGAAGCTAATGGAAGAGATGAAGGCTGGAAGGGGCAGGTTCTCAATCACATGACGTTCAGCGTGCTCAGCTACATAATCAGCTCAGAAAGGAGCCTGAACATTGATTCTCAAAGTGTGGGCCAAAGTCCCCTGGGACATCCTGAGACTTTTTCAGTGGCAACAGGAGGCCAAAATGACTTTTATAATAATACTAAGATGTTATTCGCCATTTTTACCCTCATTCTCTCACAAATATACATGAAATTTTCCAGAAGATTCATGATAGGTGACTTCATAACAGATTAAATGCAGAAACAGAATAGTAGAGTTATCTTTTATTAAGCTACACATTAAGGAGATTTGCAAAAATGTAAAACAATTTCTCTCTTCTCAACACATTTATTTGGTTTTAAAATAAATGTGATTAATATACGATTAAAATAAATTACAAAATTAAATATAATTTTAGAACTAAATAAATTAAAATAAAAATTAAATTGGAATTTAATTTTTTTTTTTTTTGAGACAGAGTCTTGCTCTGTCTCCCAGGCTGGAGTGCAGTGGCACCATCTTGGCACACTGCAACCTCTGCCTCCCAGGTTCAAGCAATTCTCCTGCCTCAGCCTCCCGAGTAGCTGGGACTACAGGTGTCCGCCACCACACCCAGCTAATTTTTTTGGATTTTTAGCAGAGATGGGGTATCACAATGTTGGTCGGGCTGGTCTCGAACTCCTGAACTCAAATGATCCGCCCGCCTCGGCCTCTCAAAGTGCTGGGATTACAGGCATGAGCCACTGCGCCAGGCGGAATTTAATTTTTTTTAATTTTCATTAAAATGTTATTTATTTGAAAGGTTGGTAATTATTTAAAATTAACTAATAAATATTTTAAATATTTGTCCATTTCAAATCTTAGTATGATAAATATGGTTTTATATACATATTTATATAAACAAATCATAAATTTATTTATATATTTATATTTTTTACTATATATTTTATAAATATTTATTTTTATCCCATAAAAGTGAAAGCTTTTCAGGGGGTGCAACACATTTTAGATTATAAAGAAGTTCTGAGAACAAAAAGCTTGAGAACCACTAAACAGTGTTCTTATTCTGATCCTGACTGTTTTCTGTGGTTTACCTGTTTAAGACTTCTTGGTGATCTTTGATTGACATATTCATCAAATCTGCATCCCATATATTTAATAAAGACAGGAAGAGAGAGAGGGAGGCAAAAAAAGAGGAAGGAAGAAAGGAAAGGGAAGAATAGATGAAGGGAATAAAGGAAACCTAATAAACTATCCACAGGGAATGCACTGTAGGGGCCACGGGGTGTGTATTCAGTGCACACCAGGTTCACGGCCAATACCCAGCTGTGCTCATGACTGAAATGCTTCCAGCAGATGTGCTACGCCCTGGATATCTTCCACATAAACCTGACCTGTGTTCATTTCCTGAACACACTGTAGACAGATTTACTCTTAGACGTTTTGTTTGACTTACCCTTTGTTTTACGACAAAAAATGTAATTGCTGGTAGTTAAATGTAGAAAGTTTTATGTGAAAGTCTGTATTTCCGTTTTATCTTGAATTTGAAAATAACTGGTAAGACAGTCACCAAGGACCTGTGACGAACAGTGGGCTGGAGCTGCGGAGCCGCTGTCCCTCGCAGCAGGGCACCAAGCACAAACGTCCCGGAGTCACCTCTGACCTGCCCCAATCTTCCCTGTTACCTACCCCGGCAGGACTCTGAGAGGAGGCTAATTGTCTCAAGATCATCTTTAAATCTCTTCGGGCACATGAGAACAATGTTCTGTGCCAACAAAAATATAAATTAAAAGGCAAAAAGTCACCCGATCACACCACACAGTGGCAGCCCTCTACATTTTGGTCTGTTTTTAGCAAGCATTTTTTCTCATGTTTAGTATTACGTACTTAGGATCATATATGATACACGATTACACAAAAATGAGGATGTTTTTGTATATCCACGAAATCACTGTATTTTCCATATTAGAGTAAGTGTTTGACATGCCATTAAAAGTGCTTTTAAACATAGTGTTCAGTCCTGCGTAATTCCCCACTGTGTGCAGGCACCATAGCTCACTCCGTGAATTCTGTCAACATTTAGGTTCATTTTTTCTTACTGTAAATAATGATGATGAACATCTTTATAAAACAGCTAGTTATACTTAGGATAAATCCTAAAAGCGGGTGAAAGAATATACATACTTTTAAAGTATTTACTATGTGTATCTTCTTTCCCTTGGATGGAAATATAAGCAGTTTTTTATTTTACTTTTTGTAAAATTTTCAATTAAAAGTTTATTTTTTCAAAATTTATGTTCTGTATTAGCAAACAGAAACAAGGAGCTAAAATTTGAATCCCTAAAGTACATTTTAAGTGTTACTTTAAATATATTAGGCTGTCTATGCTATGTGGCACAAAAACATAAAAACTGTGGACTTGGTCCAAATGCTTGGGTGGTACCATTCTTTGTGGGCTGGTGTTCTCATTTTTTAACTCCTTTTTTGCACATCCATTATTGGGACACTTCTGGACTATGATGTCAAGGTGACCATTCTAACAGGCTAGTTTTTTAACTGCAGTCTGTGGCCACATGAGAGGCTTTGTAAAAGTCCTGGATGAAATTCTCACTTTAAAAATTGTACGTCTGACACTAAGTGGACATTCAAGTGTGCTGATAATGAGTGCGGGGAAGCTTTCACTAACTGAGAAGAAGGGCAGAAATTAGCACGAAATCATGGAGTAGGTGTGGGCAGCAAGAAGCCAAGCACAACCTGAAAGAAAAGGGAACATGATTAAGCAAATCTGATCCCAGGGCAGCTAAGAAAACCACAGACGATGTTGCCACCAAAATGGACATGTGACTGATGCAATATTTATATACACAAATGTAAAGCAGAATTTGCATTCTATCATCTTCAGGTTAGGCATGGATCAACCCCAAAACAAGGATTCTATGCTACAGACTTAGGAGAAAACCTTACCATAAGAAAAACTACTTCAAAGTCATCTGGACTAACAATCTGATCCTCATGGCTAATGCATGCTGAACAGAACACAGGGCAGCAAAAATTGACCCCAGAGAAGGAAGGAAGAGGGAACGGGAAAGGAGAGTTTGGTTATCATTGCTCTTGGAGAAACAAGATGCATGATGTTTTATTAATAGGCACAATTCCTTTATGTAAGTAACCTGATAAAAGGTAGTAGGTTGATTTCATGCTCTGCTGAAGAGAAGTGGGATGGCTTTCTACCCTGAAGCCACTAGGGCTCTTTTAGGCACTGCATGGAGCATATTTGCTTTTTTCCTTTATATAAATTGCAAATAGCATCTTAGTCATATAAAAGAGTTGGTCCAGCTCCCTGCAAAAATGCTCTGTTATGTCCAGTGTGCATTTCATATATTTCACATGCTCCAGGGGCTGTCAGCTCATGCAGTCATATCCAACATTGACATTGACTATGGCAGTCACAGTGACAGCAGTTTTGTTCTTTCATGCCATTTGGTACTCCACAATGCACTACTTAACCCAAGACAATTTTCAGGTTTCACTGATATCTTTGAATCCCCTTAGAAAGAGGAAACCTCCCTAAAAAGATCTTAGGACATGCAACCAAGTATGAATTCTACTTAGAAAATCTTATGATATGTGACTAAGGTACATAAAATTCTCATATTTTAGCCAGTTTTATTCATCACAAAGTTTTGGAGACATAGATTCCATTGTGTTCTGATTCACAACTGCTATTTACTCATTCAATTAATAAATCTGTACTGAATGCCTAGTTGTGCCAAGTGCTTCTAGGCCCTGGTCATAAAGCAGTAAACAAGACAAACAGGACTTTCTGATCTCGTGAAGAAAACTAAACAGGGCAGACAGAGTGCCAGCCTGCCATGCAAGCACGGTGATCAGGGAAGGGCTCGCCAGAAGGCCCATGAGCGAGACCTGTAGAAGTGAGAGAGCCACCCACAAAGATGTTGGAGAAAGGATGTTGCAGACAGAGGCCCAGAGGAAGGAGCATAACCTAACACGTTTGAAGAGCAGGAAGCAGTCAAGAGAGGGTGAGCAAAGGAAGCACATGTGAGGTGGAGAAGGAAGGGGCTGGGGGCCACCAGATGGAGGGTTTTTGGTTTTTACTGATTGTGGTGAGAAGCCATTGGACATGTTTACAAAGGACTGATATTACCAGACCTGTCTTTTAACAGGATCCCTACGTAATGAATAGAAGACTAAGAAGAACCAGTGGAAGAGGGAGAACAGTTAAGAGACTATTGCCATAATCCAAGTGCAAGGTGGAGGTGACTTGGACCAGGAGTAGCAAGATGAGTGGTGAAGAGGGGTCAGGTTATGGATCTATTTGGAAGGTAGAATCACAGACGTTCTGACAGATTAAATTAAGCATAGTGGAGAAAGAAGGGAGTGTAAGGATTATCTCCTAGGTACGTGGGTATACCCATTTGGAGTTCAAGGGTAAGGTCTGGACTAAACCTTTGAATCTGGGAGTCGTCAGTGTATGGATGGTGCTTAAAGCTATGAGACTGTTTGAAATCCCTAAGGGAGTACATGCGGGTAGAGAAGATGTCAGAGGACTAGCCCCCAAGCTGTTGCAGCGTGTAAAGCACAGGGTGAACAGCAGGAACCGCAAAGCAGAGGGAGAAATGAGGCCAACGATGAAGGAAGGAAACCAAGAAGTCTGGGGTGTCATGGAGCCAAGTGAGAAAGTGTTTGAGGGTCAGGCAACAACCAGCTGTGCAAATGCTATTCATGGCTAAGTGAGAAGAGGGTTAAGAATTGATCATGGGCTATAACAACATGGAAGATATTCACATTTTGAAATGAGCAATTTCTGTGAAAGGACAGAGGAAACTGTCAGACCTAGTGGATCTGAGAGGAAAAATGAAGACAGAAATTGGAGATGGTAAATATGAAAACCCTTCCAAAGAATTCCACTCTGAAGAAAGCAGAAATAGTGCAGTAGTTTGAAAGGAACATAAGATCAGGACAGGTAGTGCCAGATGGGAAAATTCAACTGTGCATGTTGATAGGAACACTCCAGTAGAGACAGAAAAGTCGACATTGTGGGAGGTAGAAGGAGAATTGCTGGAATTCGAGAGAGACATTGGGATTTAGTGCTCCAGTTTAGCTTATGGGTAACAAAAAGGAAGACAGTGTTTGGACATAGATCCAGGTGGGGGGTGATGAGGAAGTAGCAGTTTGCAGAAGCTCTCATCTTATTCTGGTTTTGGCTTAAATTTGTTTTTCTTTCAGTGACATATACCCCAAAGTCATTAACTGAGAGTGAGGATGGGAGAGAAAACATTAGAGGCTTAAGAGGAGAGAGAATCTGAAGGAGCCTCCCAGAAACATGAATGAGCGAGGGAAAGCATTAGAATGGCAGGTGTGCTAGGAGCCTACTAGCGGTTAGCGACAGGGCCAGCTGCATTGGTGGCTTAATGTGTGTGACTGTGGAGTCACACATAATTTTTGCAATTTGTAAGTTTATGTTATTTCTCATGTGTCACTGTTGCCTGCTTTATGGTTTATAAGTCACAAATTATTTTGAAAATGAAAACACCTTAGATTTTAGTGCATTTAATGAGG